>NC_000010.11:14706969-14858484 GCF_000001405.40 Homo sapiens
GAAAAATTAGCAGAGTGTGGTGGCACGCGCCTGTAGTCCCAGCTACTCAGGAGTTTGAGGAAGGAGAATTGCTTGAACCCGGGAAGGCGGAGGTTGCAGTGAGCCGAGATCGTGCCACTGTACTCCAGCCTGGGCGACAGAGCAAGACTCTGTCTCAGAAAAAAACAAAACAACAACAACAAAAAAACAAAACAACAAAACAAAACAAAAAAATGGTTACAGTGGTAAATTTCACGTTATGTGTATTTTATCACCACCCCAACAAAAGAAAATTGTGGAAAGATGATTTTAAGTGGTCTAGCTCTGATTCAATCAGTGCCACCTCCTAAGTGAGTTCAGGGGCTGTCATAACCTTCTTTCAACTACCCACCAATTGCGTTCCCACAATGACATTCTCAAAGACACACAAAGAGGGACTGCATCATCACTCCAGCAGCTCAGAGAAGTTTGCGTTCCCAGGTATCTCCCTGAGATCTCTAATAGGAGCTGAGGCACAAGGACAAAAAGAATCAGGATCACCCAGCAGGATGCCCCGAGACTGACGAGAGGTGAATCCATGACTGCAGAAGAAAAGGCCCTTCTCCCACTTTGTGATCACTGTGGGCATTTATTGTAACTCACAGGGCATGCTGGTCTCATGGGACAGATTCCCCACTCTCTGCTGAAAGCTGTGACGTCTGGGATAGATTAAGGAGCCACATGGCTGCCTTCAGTGGGAGGGCCCAAGTATGTATTCTTGTTTTCTTTTGCATTCTTCATTCTGTTAAAATCGCTTTGCTTTTCCCATCCATAAACATGGCTCCCAACTCCCACTTCATCATACTAGTGAAATGTGCACATGTCTTGGAATCTTTTTTAAGTAATTTAAAAAGAAGTCATGAATCTTTCAATGAATCCCAGCTTGTGAAGGAGACACCAAGCTTATGAGGGAAAAAAAAGAAAAATACAAATTCAGACCAGGCTGTGGAAGGCACAGCATGTGTTAAAATAGCTAGGACTGGCCCTGCCTTCAGCCCCAAATTGTCCTAACAATTATGTCCAACCCAGAGCTCTGTCTCCACCCTCTCCTTTCCATTTCCAGCCCTGTCCATTCTCTTCACCTTAGGAGGACTGTCTTTTTTTTTTTAAGATAGGGTCTCACTCTGTTGCCCAGGCTATAGTGAAGTGGCACAATCTCGGCTCACTGAAAACTCCGCCTCCCAGGTTCAAGAGATTCTCCTTTCTCAGCCTCCCTGGTAGCTGGGATTACAGGTGCCTGGCACCACACCTGGCTAATTTTTTTTTAATTTTTATTAGAGATGGGGTTTTGCCATGTTAGCCAGGCTGGTCTCAAACTCCTGACCTTAGGTGATCCACCTGCTGGGGCCTCTCTAAGTGCTGAGATTACAGGCATGAGCCACCGCACCTGGCCCACCTTAGGAGGACTGAACCCCAGATCACCCTGGCCAGTTCCCTTTCTCATGACTATGTGTGCTTTCAGACAGTCATCTGCAGTGAAGACATGACAGGGTATTTCCTACTCAGGATCCAGGGAAATGAATTTCCCAGGGAAACGCCTTGAGACCAGTGGTAAAGTGAATGTGCAGCCAGGCCATATTTACTCTTTAATTTGAGCATGGGATCTTAACCCAGTGGTATGTCTAAAGAAAAAAAAAATTGATAAGTTGGACTTCATTAAAGTTAAAAATTTCTGATCCGCAAAAGTCACCATTAAGATAATGAAAAGACAAGACTAGGAGAAAATATTTGCAGAGCACATAGCTGATAAAGGATTGGTACCCCAAATATGCAAAGAAAGAACGTTTCAAACTCAACAATAAGAAAACAAACAACCCAACTTAAAAATGAGCAAAAGATCTGAACATACACTTCACCAAAGAAAATATACAGATGGAAAATTAGCATATGAAAAGATGCTCAATATAGATGTCATTAGGGAATTGCAGATTAAAACAATGGAAAATTAGCATATGAAAAGATGCTCAATATAGATGTCATTAGGGAATTGCAGATTAAAACAATGAGATACCACTGCATACCTATTAGAAATGCTGAATTCCAAGACACTGATAACAACAAATGCTGGCCAGGATGTGGAGCAGTGGGAACTCTCATTCTTTACTGGTGAAATACAAAATGGTGCAGCCACTTTGGAAGACAGTTTGGTAGTTTCTCACAAAGCTAAACATACTCTTACCATATGATTCGCAATTGCACTCATAGGTATTTACCCAAATGACTGGAAACGTATGTCCACACAAAGAAAACTGCACAGGTATGTTTATGGAAGTTTTATTCACAATGGCTTGTATTAGTCCATTTTCAGGCTGCCAATAAAGACATACTCGAGACTGGGCAATTTACAAAAGAAAGACGTTTAATGAACTTACAGTTCCACGTGGCTGGGCAAGCCTCACAATCATGGCAGAAAGGAAGGAGGAGTAAGTCATATCTTACATGGATGGCAGCAGGCAAAGAGAGAGAGCTTATGTAGGGAAACTCCAGTTTTTATAACCATCAGATCTTGTGAGACTTATTCACTATCACAAGAACAGCATGGGAAAGACCTGCCCCCATGATTCAATTACCTCCCACGTGGTTCTTCCCACAACATGTGGCAATTGTGAGAGTTACAATTCAAGATGAGATTTGGGTGGGGACACAGCCAAATCATATCATCACTAAAATTTAGAAGCAACCAAGATATCCTTCAATAGGTGAATGGCAAAACAAACTGTGGTACATCCAGACAATGGGATATTATTCAGTGATAAAAAGAAGTGCACAATCAACCCGTGAAAAGACATGGAGAAACATTAAATGCATATTGCTAAGTGAAATAAGCCAATCTGAAAAGACTATATACTATATGATTCCAAATATACGACATTCTGAAAAGCGCAAAACTATGGAGACAGTAAAAAGATAGCAGTTGCCTGGGATATAGGGGGGAGGAGAGAGAAAAGAATAAAACAGAGCACAGGAGATTTTCAGGACAGTGAAAGTATTCTGTATGATACTATAATGGTAGATACATATAGTTAGACATTTGTCCAAACCCACTGAATGTACAGTACCAAGAGTGACCCCAATGTAAACAATAAACCTTAGTTTCTAATAATGTATCTGTACTGACTCAGTAATTACTTCAAATGTATCACACTAATATCAGACGTTAATAACAGGGGAAACTAGGAGAACAGGTAGGTAGGAACTCTCTACTTTCTGCTAGATTTTCTTGTAAACCTAAAACTACTAAAAAATAATAAAGTCTATTCATTAAAAAATGTAACATAGTCAGACTCCATCTCTACAAAAAATGAAAAGAAAAACAGCCAAGCTGAGGCAGGAGGATTGCTTGAGCCCAGGAGGTTGAGGCTACTGTGAGCTACGATTGCACCACTATACTCCAGCATGGGATAAAAAACATATATACATATTTTTTTGCCTGTCTCTAAAAATACACACACACACACACACACACACACACACACACACACACACACACAAAATGTTTAAAAATACCAATGCTTAGGCCCTACCCCAGAGATTCTGATTTACAGTTATTTATTGCATAATGACATTTTGGTCAATAATGGATGCCATTCACAACAGTGGTCCCATAAGAGTATAATCAAACTGAAAAATTCCTATTGCCTGGTGACATCCTGATGATCCTAACCCTGTGTTGGCCTGGGCTCATAATGTGTGTGCTTGTTTCTTCACTCTTAACAAAAAAAGTTCAAAAAGTAAAAAATAAATTTTTTTAAAAAGAAACAAGATTATAGAGTATGGATATAAAGAAAGAAAAAATATTTTTATAGAGCTGAACAATGTGTTTGTATTTTAAGCTAAGTGTTGTTATAAAACAGTAAAGAAGTTGAAAAAGTAAAAGGTTTATAAGGTAAAAATTTATGGTAAGCTAAGATTAATTTATTATTAAAGAAATAATTTTTTTTTTGAGATGGAGTATTGCTCTGTCACCCAGACTAGAGTGCAGTGGCGAGATCTCAGCTCACTGCAACCTCTGCCTCAAAGGTTCAAGTGATTCTCCTGCCTCAGCCTCCCAAGTAGCTGGGACTACAGGCCTACCACCACGTCTGGTTACCTTTTGTATTTTTTTAGTAGAGATGGGGTTTCACCATATCAGCCAGGCTGGCCTCAAACTCCTGACCTTGTGATCCACCCACCTTGGCCTCCCAAAGTGCTGGGATTACAGGCGTGAGCCACTGTGCCCGGCCATAAAATTTTTTTAATAAACAGTGTAGTCTAAGTGTACAGCATTTATAAAGGCTACAGTAGTATGCAGTAATGTCCTAGGCCTTTAGATTCACTCACCACTCACTGATTGACTCACCCAGGGCAACTTCCAGTCCTGCAAGCTCCATTCATGGTGAGTGCCTGGACAGGTGTATCATTTTTTATTTCATACTGTATTTTTACTGTACCTTTTCTTACGTTTAGATACACAAATACTTACCATCGTGTTACAATTGCCTACAGTATCCAGTACAGTCACATGCTACACAGGTAGCCTAGGAGCAGTAGGCTATACCGCCTAGCCTAGCTGTGTAGTAGCCTAGACCATCTAGGTGTGTGTAAGCACAGTCCTATGATGTTCACGTAATGATGAAATTGCCTAATGAGGCATTTCCAAAAATGTATCCCTGCTTTTTTTAGTTTTTATCTTTTGAGACAGAGTCTCGTTCTGTCGCGCAGGCTGGGGTGCAGTGGTGTGATCTCAGCTCACTGCAACCTCCGCCTCCCAGGTTCAAGTGATTCTCCTGCCTCAGCCTCATGAGTAGCTGGTATCACAGGCACCTGCCACTACACCCAGCTAATGTTTGTATTTTTAGTAGAGACAGGGTTTCACCATGTTGGCCAGGCTGGTCTCAAACTCCTGACCTCAAGTAATCCGCCCACCTTGGCCTCCCAAAGTGCTGGGATTACAGGTGTGCGCCACCGCGCCCGGCCTCAAGATGTATCCCTGTTGTTAAGTGACGCAAGACTTTAATGAGTGTGCAGTGCTACATGTGGGTTTCCCTGTAGTAGTCTAAGGCTTAAACCTACAGGTTCTTGCCAAAGAGCAAGAAATCTCCCAAGGTTACAAAGTGAAGAAGACAGGACTTTCAACCCTAAGCAGTCAGCATCAGTTAAAAATACACAGATTTATTGATAGTTTTCGAAGGTACAGAACTTAGGATATTCAATTTTCCATGATGTGATTATTACCCATTGCGTGCCTGTACTAAAATATCTTATGTATCTCATAAATATATACATCTACTTTATACTCACAAAAATTAAAAAATTAAAAAAAAATGTTTAAAAAGAAGTTGGGGCCGGGTGCGTGGCTCAAGCCTGTAATCCCAACACTTTGGGAGGCTGAGGCGGGTGGATCATTTGAGGTTGGCAGTTCAAGACCAGCCTGGCCAACATGGTGAAACCCTGTCTCTACTAAAAATACAAAAAAAATTAGCCAGCTGTGGTGATGGGCGCTTGTAACCCCCGCTACTAGGGAGGCTGAGGCAGGAGAATCGTTTGAACCCGGGAGGCAGAGGTTGCAGTGAGCCCAGATCGCGTCACTGCACTCCAGCCTGGGGGATAGAATGTGATTCCAGTCCCCTGCCCTGACTCCCACCAAAAAACAAAAAAAAAAGAAGAAGAAGTTGGGATAAATGAATAGAAGCCAAGAGCTTTGATGCAGTAATTCTAAGCCTTAATGAGTTACAAACCATTGCTGGGAAGAGGTTTTAAAAAACAACATAACATGGTCAGAGGTTCAGATGAGAAGTGTTGTTGTTTTTCATTTCTTTGTTTCTTAAATTTCCTTTTCTTGGAACTACCCAGGAAGGGCCTTGTTTTAGAACACGAGTCCAAAATTCATATTTGCCTTGGGCTCTAGTTTCTAGCAATTTCCTTGATGGTGACTGAGACTAAAAGTGTGCCCACTTTTCACTTTAGGGCTTTTTGGTTCCTTCCTGGACCCTCTTCCTACACTGCAAGCTTCTGCTGCAGCCCAGTCCTTGGTTACTGAGCCTTCAGGGTGACCCTGCTCCTCCCCTCCCCTTTCCCAGGACTGAACTCGCTGATACGATTTGCTGTACTGTACAGGTTTAGAATCACACTCAAATCCTCCCTCTCTCTGGCTAATCAGATTAAGTAAACCACATTGCTGTAATGGAGGATAATGGGTTATTATGTTACCTCCCTCAACAATGGACAATATGCATCAAAAGCCTCCATACTGTTCGTCACCCTTGACCCAGCAATTCCATAAATGCCAGTAAAGCTTTATCGAGAACGTTCATATCACAGCATGGATAATGTTACATAGAAAACATTCTGAAAATATTTGACAAGTGACTACACCTCAGACACAAAGTTCCCTGTAACCATTCACCATTATAGCCCAAGATTCAAGGAGAGGGAATGTCATCAAGACATGGAGCAATCTGTGACCCAGGGACAGTCTTTGAGCAGGAAGAACTGGCACGAATCTCTTGCCATTTCTGGAAGAGGGGGAAACAGCGGAAAACTGAGCTGAGGGAGAAATAGACACTGGAGTTCTCTTTTCCCTATTGTGCACCAAAATTCTGGAACAGACAGTGTTAAGTGAATTGAGAGGAAGGAAAACATCAGGGTTCATGGTTTCCTAGCTTGTCAGCTCCTGCAAACATCCAGGAGAAGAAAATCATAATTTGATGTCATTTGAAACAAAGCCACATGTCAACCTTGAAAAAAACAGACATATGTACATGTATGTTCATTGCAGCGCTATTCACAATAGCAAAGACATGAAATAAGCCTAAATGCCCATCAAGAGTAGGCTGGATTAGGAAAATGTGGTACATATACACCATGGATATTATGCAGCCATAATAAAGAATAAGATCATGTTCTTTGCAGCAACATGGATGGAGTTGGAGGTCATTATTCCAGGTGAATTAACACAGAAATAGAAAACCAAATACTGCATGTTCTTACTTACAAGTCAGAGCTAAACACTGAGTACATATGGACACAGAGAAGGGAAAAAGAGATACCAGGGCCTACTTGAGAGTGGAGGGTGGGAGGAAGGTGAGGATAAAAAAAACTGCCTATCGGGTACTAGACTTATTCCCTAGATGACATAATAATCTGTATACCAAAGCCCTGTGACACACAATTCACCTATATAACAAACCTGTGTATTTACCCCTGAGCCTAAAATAAAAGTTAAAAACAACAACAACAAAATCTAGGAGAAGGTTCTTATACAGCCTCATCCAACCTAGGGTTGGAGTAGCATTGCTGGTAGGAGGGGGCTGGGTGGAGGCCCCCAAGGCCATGTCCCTGGACCCCTACAGCCTCTGTTAGCTCAGGGACTTTACAAGTCCCCCTGTGCCTCTGCATGGGCACAGAGGTTTGGTGGACTGGCAGAGGCCTTGGCTCAGGACGCAGGGATGATGGTGCACCGGAACTTGAAAATAAGATGCAAATGGCTGGAACCAGGAGAGCCGGCAGCAGGAGTCACTGACAGGCTCAAAAGGCCCTAAGATGCTGCCACACCTCAGTAGACAGCAGGCCCAGGACAAATCCAGACCTGCACCCTTCATTAGCAGGCAACGAGGGTACAGATGGCAGCACACCTACCCGAAGACTTTAATCAACACCACCGCTCCCTTATACATCCAGACTCAATCTTAGGGAGGAGCTGAGGGAGGGAGAGGAAACCTGAAAAACTGAGCACTCTTCCAAAGAAACTGCCCTAAAAGGGATGACTTCACTTGGAAAAAACTGAAAGAATATTTATTTTCTTCTCAAAATAGCGACAGAGGCCAGAGAAGACAGATTAGATCAATGATGGAAGACAAATTATATTTTTTGGTTCATCTGAGTAGTGTGGCATTAAATTTTTATACCCACTACATTTACATATATATAGCCAGGTTTATCCTCAAGGCAGGAGACTAGAGGACTCTTCTTCACAGACCAGCAAGAGACCACCAAATATTAATATTTGGATGTTGACATAAGAAGCAGGTGGTCCGCCCATGGTCCTGTAGTGAAGTCACTAATGGGCAAAGTCCAGGCCACACAAAGTCTCCAACCCCCTTTCTTCCAAATATAAATGGACAAGTAGTGATCAGCCGATACTCAAAGATAGCTTCCAACACAAGACAGAAAAGGAAACAAGTAACTCAAAAAATCAGAGAATACAAAGAGTGGGGGAAATATCAAAAACTCATTGGCATCTTCTGAGAGGAAGGAGAAGATTCCTCAAACAAGGACAGATGATGTGAAAAAAAGAAATCAGAGCTCAAGAAAGAAACTTTCTTTGGAAATTAAAAATACGATCACTGAAATTAAGAGGCTGAAGATATAGAATCAAAGGAATCTTACAGGATAGAAAACAAAAATACACAGAAAGATTAGTAAGATAGAAAAATATAAGAAAATTAGATCAACTTAAGAGTTTGTATTAGTTATCTATCATTATATAATAGATCACCCCAAAACGCAGTGGCTGTGATGGTTAATTTCTTGTGTCAAGTTGACTAGGCTAAGAGATGCCCAGATAGTTGGTGAAACATGATTTCTGGCCATGTCTGTGAAGAGATTAGCATGTTAATTAGGAGACTAACTAAAGAAGACCTGTCCTCCCCAGCATAGGTGGGCACCATTCAATCTATTGAGGGCGTGAATAGAACAGAAAGGTGGAGGAAGGGGGAATTGACTCGCTCTTCTTGAGCTAGGACATCCATCTTCTCCTGCCCTTGGACATCAGCACTCCTTGTTCCCCAGCCTTTGTACTCCAGGATTGACACAAGTGCCTCCCAACCTCCTGGTGGTTCTCAAGCCCTTGGCCTTGGAATGGGGGTCACACCATTGGCTTCCATGATTCTCAGGCCTTTGTACTCTGACCAAATTACACCATCTTCCCTGGTTCTCCAGCCTGCAGGTACAGATTGTGGTATTTCTTGGCCTCCACAATCACGTGAGCCAATTTCCATAATAAATCCCTCCTTATAAATCTACATTTATATAGACATAGGAGTCTCCAGAGAAATAGATATATAGAATATATACTTCTACAGATATTCCTGATGAGACTGGCATCCAGGGTATATAGAAGCCCTATTGGTTTTCCATCCACCCTTCCATAGAAGAAGAGAATCTCATTTATAATCTACCTGGCTTTTGTGAAATATATCTACTTATCTGGAGAGTCCTAATATATTGGCTTAAAACAACCATAAACCTTCATTAGGTCACTCAGCCCTTAGTTGGGTGGTTCTAGCTTCGGGCCTATCCTGAGGTTGTGGCCAAGATGTTGGCCAGGACCATGGTCATCTGAAGGCTCCACTGGGTTGCGGGATCCATTTCTAAGATGACTCCCTCACAGGGCAGCTGCTCACCGGCTGTTGGCAGGAGGCCCAGTGCCTTGCCATGTGGGCCTCTCCACAGGGCTGCTTGAGTGTCCTCATGACATGGCAGCTGGCTTCCCCCAGAGCAAGTAACCCAAGAGAGGGTGCAAGGAGAAGGTCATCATGCTTTTCAGAAGTAACACACTGATACTTCCATCACAGGCTACTTGTGAGAAGTGAGTTCCTATATCTGCCTCATAGACAGTGAGCTGGACAAAAGTAACAGTAAGGAAATGGCCACCATGGTGCCAAGGAGTGATAGGGTAGGCTGGGGAGAGTACTTGATATGATGTCAAGCGATCACAGGTTTGAATCTTGGCTCCTCCTCAAGCACATCATTTAATCTCTCGGTTTCCACATCTGTAAAATGTGGATGATATTGCCACTGTGCAGAGACTTGTTGAGAGTCAACTATTTTAAATGACTTGCGCCAGGCACAGTGGCTTATGCCTGTAATCCCAGAACTTTGGGAGGACGAGACAGGTTGATCACCTGAGGTCAGGAGTTTGAGACCAACCTGGCCAACATGGTGAAACCCCGTCTCTACTAAAAATACAAAAATAATCTGCATGTGGTGGCGAGCACCTGTAATCCCAGCTACTCGGGAGGCTGAGGCAAGAGAATCCCTGGAATCCGTGAGGCAGAGGTTGCAGGGAGCCGAGATAGCGCCACTGCACTCCAGCCTGGGGGACAGTGAGACTCTGTCTCAAAAATAAAAATTAAAAATTAAAAATTAAAGTGACTTGTACATGGCAACCACCCGACAAAGCAGAGTTATTCTTATTAATATTGAGATGCCTTTGGGTAAGGTAGTGAGCACGTGGTTTGTTCTGAAGTCCTGGCTTAGGCCCAAACAAAAGCTCAGAAAGCCCAGCCAAAGCCCCTCTGTATCAGTCAGGGCTCTCTAGAGGGACAGAACCAATCAGATCGGTGTGTGTGTAAAAGGGAGTGTACTAGGGAGAACTGGCTCACAGGATTGCAAGGTGAGGTCTCCCAGTAGGCATCAGCAAGCTGGGGAAAGAGAGAAGCCAGTAGCATGGCTCAGTCCAGGTCCAAGAACCTCAACACCAGGGAAGCGGACAGTGCAGCCCTAAGTCTGAGAGCCCCTGGGAGGCCACTGGAGCAAGACCCAGAGTCCAAAGGCTGAAGAACCTGGAGTCTGATGTCCAAGGGCAAGAGGAGGGGAAGCAAACATCTGGGCCCAGGAAAAGAGAGAGAGTGCGAGAGACTCAGCAAGCTGCTTCTCCCCAATCTTCCGCCTGCTTTGTTCTAGCCACACTGCCAGCCAGTTGGATGGTGTCCACAGATATCAAGGGTGGGTCTGCTTCTCCCAGTCGACAGACTCAAATGTCAGTCTCCTCTGGCAACCCCCTCCCAGACACCCAAGAGCAATGCTTCGCCAGCCATCTAGGCATTCCTGAATCCAATCAAGTCGACACCTAATATTAACCACCACACCCTCTCAACTATCTCAGAAACAGACAGCTGAACAACTGGAATGCACCACTGTACCATTTTTTAATGATGATGGAGATTCTGCTTACAGCCCAGAGAAAGCTTCTGGAATAGGGGTTTTATGAATTTGGAGGAAAGTTTTTAGCTAACAAAAGATCATGTTTTGGTTCTTGGTTCCTGGGGGTCCAGGAGAAGAAATATATTGAATCTCACCAGGCATGGTGGCTCACGCCTGTAATCCTAACACTTTGGGAGGCCAAGGCGGGCAGATCACTTGAGGTCAGGAGTTCGAGACCAGCCTGGCCAACATGGTGAAACCCTGTCTCTACTAAAAATACAAAAATTAGCTGAATGTGGTGGCACGCACCTGTAGTCCCAGCTACTCAGGAGGCTGAGGCAGCAGAATAGCTGAAACCTGGGAGGCGGAGGTTGCAGTGAGCCAAGATTGCACCACTGCACTCCAACTTTGGCAATCCATCCTGAGCAACAGAGCGAGACTCAAGAAAGGAAGGAAGGAAGGAAGGGAGGGAGGGAAAGAAAAGAAAGAAAGGAAAGAAAGGAAAGGAAGAAAGAAAGAGGAAAGAAAGAAAGAAAGAGAGGGAGGGAGGGAGAGAAGGAAGAAAGGAAGGAAGGAAGAAAAGGAGGGAGGGAGAGAAGGAAGGAAGGAAAGGGAGGGAGGGAGGGAAACGAAGGAAGGACAGAGAGAGAGAGAGGAAGGAAGGAAGGAAGGAATTTGAATCTCTGACCTCACAGCAGAGTCAATAACAGCATGAGTTAGGTGAGCAGTAGGAAGAATGCACCAACCAACTGAAGATGAGACCATCTTCCAGATGAGGCTGACATCCAAATCTAATTGGTTTTCTCTCCACACTTCCAAAGAAGAAATGTATCTCTATTTATAATCTGCCTGGCCTTTGTGAAATAGGTTATGCCAGACATGGAGAAGTAGTACAGCCTTTTGTGGCAATGCTGGTTCTGTTCATTGCAGTTGATGAACAACAATATTAGGAATGCTAACTTGGCTTTGAGTGTGCCTCTTCACGTAGTATAGCCATGATCATTTTTGACTCTCAACGACCTTGAGAGGTGGGAAGAGTAAATTTTTATTCCCAGTTCTATAGATGAGGAAACAAGATACTCAAAGAGATGATAGGACAGTCCTGAGATTTTACTGGCGCAGAACTAAGACTAGAGTTCAGGCCTTCTCCACGTCTAGGGCTGCTCCTATTATCAGCCCATCAAATGCACTTAGCTAGTGGTAGGAGGGGATGTGCCTTCACAGCCAGACAGGGCTTCAGCTGTCAGACCATAGGCTTAGAGCAGGATCCGAGGCTCACTGATTTTCAGTTCACTGGACTAAGCCTGCCCAAATAACACACACTCAGGCCTGGGTTCGGGAGTCAGAGTTCCAGCCAGGGACGCATTCTCTCCTGGCCCTATTTTCTTGCCTCTAAAATAAGAATCCTGACCTACTTCATTGGCCTGTCCTCGGGGAAGAGATAAACATTTTTACATTAAGCTGGAAATGGGTTTGTAAGTGTCCTAATACAACATAACTAATACTTTGCCTTTAATGATTTTTTTCATCTTGAGAATCGAAATGAAATCCATTCATGTTCTTTCAACGAACATAAATATTTTGCGGAGAGTAAAAGATACAAATGGGCTAGCCATTTGTTCCAGGGAACACACGCCGGTCATTTGCCAACTTGCTCTCAGCCTCATCCTGTTCCTCCCATAGCAGACATTTCCCATGCTCCCTTGCGTACGGCCTTCCTGCCAGGTAAGGCCAATGGGAGGCACTAGGGGATTCGAGGGGGAGAGAAAGGAAAAGCCAGGGTATTTATGTTCCTCTCTCTCTGCTTCGGGCAGCACTCCCAACAGTGGCTGTGTCTCCACTGTGGTTCCTCCTCCTGCCAGGTGGCCTTGGCTCCTGGGCTCCCCTCACACCATCTCTGTCTTCCGTCCCTCTCATCCAAAGGGTGGGAGCTGCTTCCCGCTGTTATTGATCTTTGGGTTGCTTTACCATGGCCTTTAGGCTGTTCAGCTCTTCTTATGCTGTTGTCTCCAGTTCTCTGTGTTAGATTCTGCTGTTAAATGCCATGGTGTGGGCTCTTTTCCTCACTGGGCCCTGACGGACTGGGTACCCCACAGAGAAAATGTGTTGGGGGAATGCCTTCCCCTAGAAGGAAAGAGATCTGGGCCTGAGTTGGGCCACTTTCTCCAACCAGTTGGTGACCTCAGGCAAGTCACAACCTCTTTGGGCTTCGATTTCCTTTTCTGCAAAATGAAAGAGCTAGACTAGATGATTCCTGCCACCCATTTCATAGTTATCAAGTAGGTAGGTGATTCCCTGATGGTGCCAGAACCCCTTCCAACTGGTACTCCTGTTTCCAGTAAAAAGACATATGTTTTTTGGTAATTTTTTTTTTCCTTTGAGAAGGAATCTCACTCTGTCACCCAGGCTGGAGTGCAGTGGCACGATCTTGGCTCACTGCAACCTCCGCCTCCCGTGTTCAAGTGATTCTCCTGCCTCGGGCTCCAGAGTAGCTGGGATTACAGGCATGCACCACCACACCTGGCTAATTTCTGTATTTTTAGTAGAGACAGGGTTTTACCATGTTGGCCAGGCTGGTCTCGAACTCCTGACCTCAGGTTATCCGCCTGCCTCAGCCTTCCAATGTGCCAGGATTACAGGTGTGAGTCACCATGCCTGGCCTATTTTTGGTCTTTTTAAAGTAAATTTTAAAAGTTGTAGGGCTTTATCAGCTCCAATTCATCAATTAGCTGAAGGGTTATTTTAGAAACATAAGAAAATTATAACGAACAGAATGGATCCCTCAACATTCTACCAGACACCATTGTCTTAAATTCTAGAAGTTCCCAGGCAAACATTTGAAGAACCAAAGTAATCCAGAGGACCTAGAATTCATTGAAAAATGCTGCTTTTATCACCTTTCCCCTCCCTGTAGAATATCTAATAATTTCAAAGGAACATATTTTTTTTTAATTTATTTTTTATTTTTATACTTTAAGTTCTAGGGTACAAGTGCACAATGTGCAGGTTTGTTACGTAGGTATACGCGTGCCATGTTGGTTTGCTGCACCCATTAATTCATCATTTACATTAGGTATTTCTCCCAATGCTATCCCTCCCCCAGGCCCCCACCCCATGACAGGCGCCAGTGTGTGACGTTCCCCGCCCCGTGTTCAAGTGTTCTCATTGTTCAATTCCCACCCATGAGTGAGAACATGCGGTGTTTTGTTTTCTGTCCTTGTAATAGTTTGCTGAGAATGATGGTTTCCAGCTTCATCCATGTCCCTACAAAGGACATGAACTCATCCTTTTTTATGGCTGCATAGTATTCCATGGTGTATATGTGCCACATTTTTTTTAATCCAGTCTATCATTGATGGACATTTGGGTTGGTTCCAAGTCTTTGCTATTGTGAATAGTGCCGCTATAAACATACGTTTGCATGTGTCTTTATAGCAGCATGATTTATAATCCTTTGGGTATATACCCAGTAATGGGATGGCTGGGTCAAATGGTATTTCTAGTTCTAGATCCTTGAGGAATAGCCACACTGTCTTCCACAATGGTTGAACTAATTTACACTCCCACCAACTGTGTAAAAGTGTTCCTATTTCTCCACATCCTCTCCAGCATCTGTTGTTTCCTGACTTTTTAATGATCACCATTCTAACTGGTGTGAGATGGTATCTCATTGTGGTTTTGATTTGCATTTCTCTGATGGCCAGTGATGATGAGCATTTTTTCATGTGTCTATTGGCTGCATAAATGTCTTCTTTTGAGAAGTGTCTGTTCATATCCTTCACCCACTTTTTGTTGGGGTTGTTTGGTTTATCTTTTAAATTTGTTTAAGTTCTCTGTAGATTCTGGATATTAGCCCTTTGTCAGATGGGTAGATTGCAAAAATTTTCTCCCATTCTGTAGGTTGCCTGTTCACTCTGATGGTAGTTTCTTTTGCTGTGCAGAAACTCTTTAGTTTAATTAGATCCCATTTGTCTATTTTGGCTTTTGTTGCCATTGCTTTTGGTGTTTTAGACATGAAGTCCTCGCCCATGCCTATGTCCTGAATGGTATTGCCTAGGTTTTCTTCTAGGGTTTTTATGGTTTTAGGTCTGACATTTAAGTCTTTAATCCATCTTGAATTAATTAATCCATTTATTAAATAGGGAATATAAAGGAACATACTTTTTTATGGATTTATTTTCTAAGTGTACAATTCAGTGATTTGTTAGTGTAGTCACAAAATTGTGCAAACATCACTACTAATTCCAGAATATTTTCATTACTCTAAAAAGAAACCTCACACCTATTAGCAGTCATTCCCCATTCCTTCCTCCCACACAATCCCTAATAAATACTATTCGATTTTCTATCCCTATAGGTTTGCCAATTTTGTACATTTTATAAAAATGAAATCACATGATATGTGGCATTTGTGAATGGCTTCTTTCACTTAGCATAATGTTTTCAAGGTTGTTACCTATTGTAGCCTACATCTGTACTTCATCCCTTTTCATTGCCAAACAATATTCCATTGTATAGATATATTCCATGCTGCTTTTCCATATATCAGTTGATGGCTATTGGGTTGTTCCCTGCATCCTTGTCAACATTTGTTATTTATCTGTCTTTTATTTATTACAGCCATCCTAATGGCTGTAAAGTTGTACTCTCTGCTGTTTCGATTTGCATTTCCCTAATGACTAATATTGAGAATCTTGTCATGTAATTCTTGGCCATTTATATGTCTTCTTTGGATAAATATCCAGTCAAATCCTTTGCCCATTTTTAAATTGATCTTTTTATTGTTAAGTTGCCAGAGTTCTCTATATATTCTAGATATAAGTCTCTTATCAGATATATAATTTGCAAATATTTTCTCTTATCCCATAGGTTGTCTTTTTAATTTCTTGATGGAGCCTTTTGAAGCATGAAAGTTTTTAATTTTGATAAATTCCAATTCATCTATTTTTTATTTTATTGCTTATCTTTTGGGTGTCATATCTCAGAAACCATTGCCTAATCCAAGGTCATGAAGACTTACTCCTATGTTTTCTTCTAAGATTGTATTGTCTTAGCTCTCATATTTAGATCTTTGATATATTTGGGGGTTAATTTTGGTATACAGTGTGAGGTAGGGGTCCAATGGCCGTCTTTTACATGTGTCTTATATTTAGGTCTTATATTTGTGTCTTATATTTAGGTCTTCTTTGGCATGTATCTTTTTTTCTTAAGAGATTGATGTTTATTTTCCATCAGACTTGTGTCCACGTTGCTTAAGAGCCAGTACAAGAACAGCTTAAGACCATTCAGTGGTTGCTCCTAACCATTCAGTGGCCTGAGCAGTGGGAGCCACAGATCAGTCTTCTGTGGTGGGGCCGAGCACTCCAGTCTTCAGTAGGGAACTGCTGAATAGGCACAGAGGGTATCTGCACACCTTCAGACCAGTCTGCAACCTCAGGCTAAGTAGCAGTGAACTCAGGTGCTGGAGCAGTCGATTTGCCCTGAAATTCCTCCTTGGTCACAGCCTTTTCAGCAGCATCTGCTCTTCTTTTTTAATCTCTTCAGGATGTCTGTACAAGTAGAGATCAGGCATGACCTGTCACGGGTGTTTACAGGAAATGGTACCACACATGCACAAAACTTCCCAGGCCAGCATACACCACATCAAACCCACTGTGTGAGCTCCCTTACTGTTGCATGGAAAGGCTATGTCCACATAGAACAGAGGGGAATCTGTGTGACACAGAGCAATGATGGGAAGGTTAACATAGGATTACTCTGCGAGAGGCTGGCAGTCAGCTCTGGGGTCAGTAACCACAAGAAGTCATGGCTCCCAGAAGGCTGCCTGGATCTGGTTAGTGAAGGTTCCAGGGGTGAAGTGGCCAGCAATTAGAGTGGCTCCAGTGGCAGCAGCAAACTTCAGCAGGGCCCTCTGGCCAGTATACCTGGAGGACATGACACTGACATCAGCAGGGTTTTCAATGGCAACAACGGCATGAACTGCCAGCAGAAGCTTCTCCCAGGTCCTCTTCAGATTTATGATGTAGATGCCATCACTTTTCCTTTTATAGATGTGCTGTTCCATTTGGAAGTCAAGGTTAGTGTCACCTAAGTGGGTTCCTGCTCCAAGGAACTTAAGGACATCCTCCTCCTTCATTTGCAGGACATCAAGGGCTCTGGACATTGTGAAAGTTTCCCTTTAAGTTATGATGGGAATCCAGAACAATGCCAAATGGACTCCTCTGTGGGTAGCGCGGAAAGGCTGCATGTATCTTCTATGCATGTGTCTTCTACGTGTCTTATATTTAGCTCTAATATTTGTGTCTTATATTTAGGTCTTCTTTTGCAAATGTCTTATAGTTAGCTCTTATATTTAGGTCTTTGATACATTTGGGGGTAATTTTTGTATATAATGTGAGGTAGGGGTCCAACAGTCTTCTTTTGCTTATGTCTATCCAGTTGTCCCAACACTATTTGTTGAAACCACTATTATTTCTCCATTGAACTTTGTTGGAATCCTTGTCAAAAGCCAATTGACTGTAAGTAAAGGGTTTATTTCTAAAATCTTAATTCTATTCCATTGAATAGACTAGAAGACAGTCACCACGCTGTTTTGATTACTGTAGCTTTGTAGGAAATTTTGCAGATAACCCACATGGTCAAATGGTCCACCCACTAATGTGGTACAGAACCCCAGTTCACTGTTAACCTTATGGATCAACTCCAGCAATTGTCTGGAGCAGGTGGTCACATTTTTATTTTCAGGAGGAGAGCGTTCCCTAGGATGAGAAGCTTAGACCAGAACCATCCCAGAAGGAAAAAAAAAAACAACACCTAAACATCGTCACACAAGTTCCCAGGAACCCACTAATAGTGAGGACAGGAAAAAGACTGAAGGAAACGACAGAAGCTCATCCACACTGAAGAGTGAAGTCCCCAGGCCCCAACACCTAGGTCCTAAAGCACTAGACTCCAGTGTCTTCTCTTCCAGGGCCACTGGTTGTGAGGAAAAGAAACAGGGACATTTCTAGAGTTCATTTGAGAATGAAGGCTCAAAAGTAAACATTTGCAGAACCATCCACAAGGCTCCCATAACTTCAAAAGGCTGCAAGGAAACAACATTGCTTTGAATGTAATGTAAATGAAATAGAAACATATGATTTAGATTTCCACAAAAATAAACCCAGCTCTGCAGGGAGAACAGAAACAGCACCTGAGGACCAGATGCCTTTGGGTGGGGTTTTGTATTTGTAGATCCACAAGGCTGCAGGAAAAGCTGAGACTCTCAGACGGTCAGCATCCTCCTACCTCCCTACAGAGCCAGGCTTGTGCGGCTGGCTTATGAGATGGCTGAGTTTTCTAGAAGCTAGAAACTCTACTTGCAAGTAGAGACACTTAGGGTTGCCTTATAGAGAATGGGTGGGAGAAGAAAAGGGAAGGGAATGGAGAAAGAGATTGAGATTTCTCCTCAAAGGCAAGGTTTGTAAACCACAGAATATCTTTAACTCTGGATTTCATGTTCAATCAAAGTGCCTGTCTTAGTTGGTTTGGACTGCTATATCAAATACGCCAGAGGCTGAGTGGCTAAAACAACAAACTTATTTCTTAGAGTGCTGGAAGCTGGGAAGTCCAAGATTAAGGCTCTGGCAGATCCAGTGTCTAGTTAAGACCCCCTTCCTGGTTTGCACATGGCTGTCTTCTGATTGTATCCTCACATGGTAGGGGGAGAAAGAGAAAGAGAGACAGACAGAGAGAGAGAAAGAGAGAGAGAAAGCTCTCTAGTAACTCTTCTTGTAAGTGTCTAGTGTCTCTAATCCGATTATGGGGTTTCTACCTTCATGATCTTATCTAAACCTAATTATCTTCCAAAGTCCCCACCTCCTAATTTCATCATATGAGAGGTTAAGGCTTCAACATATGAATTTCTAGGGAGCAAAAGCAGTCAAATCCTTTTTTTTTTTTTTTTTTTTTGGAAATGGAGTCTTGCTCTGTTGCCCAGGCTGGAGTGCAGTGGCACGATCTCGGCTCACTGCAACCTTCACCTCCCAGGTTCAAGCAATTCTCCTGCCTCAGCTTCCCAAGTAGCTGGGATTACAGGCATGCAGCATCACACCCGGCTAATTTTTTTTTTTCCTTTTTGAGACGGAGTTTTGTTCTTGTTGCCATGGCTAGAATGCAATGGCGCGATCTCAGCTCACTGCAACCTCCGCCTCCCGGGTTCAAGCGATTCTCCTGCTTCAGCCTCCCAAGTAGCTGGGATTACAGGCTTGCACCACCACACCTGGCTAATTTTGTATTTTTAGTAGAGACAGGGTTTTGCCATGTTGGCCAGGCTGGCCTTGAACTCTTGACCTCAAGTGATCTGCCTGCCTCGGCCTCCCAAAGTACTGGGATTACAGGCGTGAGCCACCGTGCCTGGCCAAAAGCAGTCAAATCCGGGGAAAATGAACACATAAAAATCTATGTGGGAAGCATCTCCTGTTACAAATCAGGGACAATGGTGTTATTTGTGTGCCTGCCTCAGAGCCGAGCAGAACAGGTGCAGCAGGACAGGATGTCTGCACCAGGCTTGAGAAAAGAAAGGACCAAAGCCATAGCACAGTGCAGCATGGAGCCAGACTTGAAAGACAGTCAAGCATTTGTCAGGTTCCCCAAGGCTAAATTTTGGGGGTAATATTCCAAGATAAAGAACCATGTCATGCTTCCCCCTGGAAGCCACGTCTAGCCACGTGGCAGCTAGAAATCTATACAGCCAAATTTCTGCAAATGGCTTGATCCTATGTAGGAAGTATTGCCCGAAAGTACCAGGGCAGATTAAATGACTTTTCCATGTTTCCCAAATTATCAGCTGCTTTCTTGTGCCTTCCCCCCTAAAGAGTCCTTTAAACCAGAGGTCCCCAATCTTTTTGGCATCAGGGGCCAGTTTCATGGAAGACAATTTTTCCACAGACCAGGGTGTGGGGATGGTTTTAGGATGATTCAAGTGCATTACATTTATTGTGCACTTTATTTCTATTATTATTACATTGTAATATCTAATGAAATAAGTATGCAACTCAACATAATGTAGAAACAGTGGGAACCCTGAGCTTGTTTTCCTGCAACTAGATGGTCCCATTTGGGGGTGATGGGAGACAGTTACAGATCATCAGGCATTAGATTCTCATAAGAAGCAAGCGACCTAGATACCTCACATGTGCAGTTCACAATAGGGTTCACGCTTCTGTGAGTATCTAATGCCACACTGATCTGACAGGAGGTGGAGCTCAGGCAGTAATGCAAGTAATGGGGAGCAGCTGTAAATACAGATGAAGCTTCACTCACTCTCCCACTGCTCACCTCCTGCTGTGTGACCCAGTTCCTAACAGGCCACAGACCAGTACCAGTACATGGCCCAGGAGTTGGGGACCCCTGCTTTACACTCTGACTTTTCCCTAACCTTCAAAAACAGGTGTGTATTATTTTAGAAATACACCATCATGCTCGGGTTTTCATCACACTGCCTGAGCCACGTCTCTTAGATCTTAACCATTACAATGTGTTCCAGCCTGGACTTGCAACTGTCAGCAGCTGCATGTCTGTGCCATGGGGCATCTTCTAGAGCCAAGGAAGAGGATAGCCTGGAAATCCACAGGCTGGAAGTGACAAGCCATTAACACCTCCCAGGAGCAGCTCTCAACTGATGACTCTTGGGAATTGGTGTATAAATACCCCAGCTCCCTCACCCTCCAGTGGGATAATTCTGAGACATGTGTTTTACATTCTTCTTAGAGGTTCCCTATGGTATTAAGCTCCAGTTGTCCACTGTGGCAGCTGACTTAATAACAGACTTCCCTTCCTCGAATCACTTCCCCACTCTCCCACCAGGGCTTCTAGGGAAACCCACACTAAAACAAGACATCAAGATGCTTCACCACATTTCCATGCTTTAATAGCCCACTTCACTTCCCATTTTTAAGTAAGAAACTTTAAAAAGTGATTTCAGGGAGTTTGAGGCAAATAGAAAAGTTCTGTGTAGATGGAAAAAAGATAAAAAATACCTCTCAACAGCAAACTCTTAAATCCCAAACAAAGGAAAAGGGACTGAGCTAAGTATGCCAGTGATCAGTAACCCTATCATCATATTCTCTCCTCTCCCTCTCTCCCTCTGTCTCTTATTCACTGCCACCCTCCTCCCCCCATACATTTATGGAGTAAGGAAGCCTCTTGAATAACTTAAAAAGTAAAATGAAATGTCCACCCAACACAATGCTTGTGAGCTTGTGGGTGGCCTGAGAGCTGGGCTCAAAGCCATGACTTGGATCATTATTTGCATTTTTAATATCAACTGCACTTGCATCATTTTTTTAGTCAAAGTTTTTCCATTGATCAAAACTTACTCCAGTCCATCAACTCTCTTGAAAAATAGCCAGCAACGATCTTTCTCCCATTTTGATTATTTCTTTCTTTGGTATAAGGGGTGTGTGTGTGTGTGTGTGTGCTTTTTTTTTTAATCTCCAGCGGTAGAAATTACTATTTTTGAAAATAAAGCCAGTGAGAAAATAAAGACAGAAGACACTAAATAAAAGTCAAGGGGAAAGGAAAGAAGAACTACCCCCAGGGTGTGCATTCCAAGTGGCTGCAGAAGTCAAGCTGGACCAGCAGGGGTAATTTTTGTGGGTTATCCATCACTGAAAGCTTGTCAACAGCTTCCCCACCCTGATATCTCCTTAGAGATGAGAATATTGGGTTGGGAGGTCATATTGTTTCCCTCTTACCGCATGGTGATTTATTTGCAAAACTGCTTGCAAAGCAGTCAGCTGTGGGGGGACACACGTGCTTCCAGTGTCCAGCCATCAGCAAAACACTACATACATTGACCTCCAGCCACCTCTGAACACTTTCAAGTCATAATCTTATTCAGCCTCCTTGGCTTATGAGATGAAGAGTATGTGGGCATTCATTCTGGGTAGATTTTTCTCTTTAATTTTTGACAAGAGTAGGCTTTAGATTCAGGCCTGATGGGGAAATGGCACAATGTTCTTCCCTATTAATCTGCCTCGTAATGAATAGCAAGTAAAATACAAGCCAGGCACTTTATGTCAGTTGTTCAATTCTCAACTCTTCAAGTTAGATAGATATATGTGTTTTGTTTTTTTTTAAATGGGGTCTTGCTCTTTGGCCCTGGCTGGAGTACAGTGGTGCATTCATAACTCAATGCAGCCTTGACCTTCTGGGCTCAAGCAGTCCTCCCACCTCAGCCTCCCAAGTAGCTAGGACCACAGATGTGCATTGTCATACCTGGCTATTTTTTTTTATTTTCATTTTTGTAGAGATGAGATTTCAGTTTGTTGCCCAGGCTGATTTCAAACTCCTGACCTGAAGCAATCCTCCTACCTTGACCTCCCAAAGCACTGGGATTACAAATGCAAGCTACCGCACCTGATCAAGTTAAATATTTTTATCCCTATTTTACGGAAAAGAAAAATGAGGTCCAGAAAGGATATGTAAGCTGCCCAAGGTCATTGCTATATGCTACTGACATTAATTAAACCTTTGCTAGATGCCAAGCCTGGTCCTGGGCAGTGGGAATGCTAATACAAATTAGCCAGAGTTCATGCCCTCAAGGAGTAGTGTGATGAGTGTCAGGGGGCATAAGTATGGAGCAGATAAAGGGAGGGATCAACACAGTGGCATAGGAAGTAAAAAGAGTCATAGGATCAGGGAAGCTTCACTGTAGACCCGTGGTTCACAATCTTGGGTGCACCAGAATCACCTGAGGAGCTTAAAAATCTCTGAGGTGGAAATACCATTTCACCCAGCGATCCCATTACTGGGTATATACCCAAAAGATTATAAATCATTCTACTATAAAGACACATACACACGTATGTTTATTGCAGCACTATTTACAATAGCAAAGACTTGGAACCAACCCAGATGCCCATCAATGATAGACCGGATTAAGACAATGTGGCACATATACACCATGAAATACTACGCAGCCATAAAAAAGAATGAGTTCATGTCTTTTGCAGGGACATAAATGAAGCTGGAAACCATCATTCTCAGCAAACTAACACAGGAACAGAAAACCAAACACCACATGTTCTCACTCATAAATGGGAGTTGAACAATGAGAACACATGGACACAGGGAGGGGAACATCACACACTGAGGCCTGTTGGGGGGTTGGGGGCAAAGGGAGGGAGAGCATTAGGACAAATACCTAATGTATGCAGGGCTTGAAACCTAGATGATGGGTTGATAGGTGTAGCAAACCACTGTGGCACATGTATACCTATGAAACAAACCTGCATGTTCTGCACATGTATCCCAGAAATTTAAGTAAAATAAATTTTAAAAATATCTCTGAGGTGGTTTCATATCCGGAGATGGGAAATGGTCTGAGATGTCACATGGGCATCAGGATTTTTTAAAGTTCTCCCAGGTGAGTTTAATGTGAAACCAAAGACGAGAACCACTGAACTATGGTGAGGGTGCCCTGACCCGACTCTTGCCCAAGATGATATTCTTGAGCTGGGATTTAAAGGCTAGAATTGGATTTATAGGCAGATAAAGGTGTCAGGGCAATTCACATAGGAGCAAGAGCATTAGGAAGCCCAGGGAGGGAAGGTAGAGAATATGATGTGTCTGGGGAACCAGCGGAGCTGAGAGAATGCAGAGATGAGGTTGGAGGATGAATGGAAGCCTGATCGACCAGGTGGTGTGTTGAAGATTTGCAGAGTCCTTGAAGGATTTTCACCAATGGCATGATCTGGTTCGTGTTTACAAAAATTTTTCTGGCAACAGGGCAGGAATGGATTATAGGTGAGAAAGCAGATTGTGCGGAGGCTACTGCAGTAGACCAGGCGAGAAATTATGCGACTTAGATCTATGGTGACCAGCCTCCCCAGTTTGCCCAGGAATGTTCTGATTTTAGCCCTGAAAGTCCTATGTCCTGGGTAACTCCTCAGTCCCGGGCAAACCAGGACAGTTGGTCACCCACCTAGACCACACCAGTAGCAGCATGAATGGACAGTGGACAGATTTTAGAGATGCAGGGGGCAGAGGTGACTTTAGGGGTGAGGGAGTGGAGGCAGAAGATCAAAGCCGACTAAGTGGTTTCTGGCTTGAGCAACTGGTAGAGGGGTGCTGTCACCATGACTGGAATCAGGGAGAGGGCTTAGCAGGCACAGGCGGATATTACAGACTTTGTTTTGAACCTGCTCACTTTGGTGTGTCTAAACCAAAATCCAAAATTTGGATAATGGTACCCAAACATCCAACAATCCATTGGTCCATTTATTGAGTACCTAGGTGTCAATACTAAAAAGGTGTCAGGTACTAAAAAAATAAGACAGAAAAGGTGCTTGCCCTGTGGAGCTCTCAGTCCAGTGAGGGCGCGGGATTAAATCAATGACTTCAAGGCCAGGTGTGGTGGCTCACGCCTGTAATCCCAGCAGTATGGGGGGCCGAGGCAGGTGGATCACCTGAGATCAGGAGTTTGAGACCAGCCTGACCAACATGGTGAAACCCCATCTCTACTAAAAATACAAAAATTAGCCAGGCATGGTGGTGGGTGCCTGCGGTCCCAGCTACTTGGAAGGCTGAGACAGGAGGATCACTTGAGCCCAGGAGGCGGAGGTTGCAGTGGGCCAAGATTGTGCCACTGCACTCCAGCCTGGGTGACAGAGCGAGACTCCATCTCAAAAAATAAATCAATAAATAAATGAGTTTACAAGAAACTTTTTAAATCTCTCAATGCATGCACAGTCATGTCCTGCATAATGATGTTTGGGTCAACAACAGACCTCATATATGACAGTGGCCCCATAGGAGTATAATACCATCTTTTTACTGTACCTTTTCTATGTTTAGATACACAAATGTCATTGTGTTACAGCTGCCTGCAGTATTCAGCACCATCATATGCTGTACAGGTTTGCAGCCCAGGAGCAATAGGCTACAGCATCCAGCCCAGGTGTGCAGTGGGCTACACCATCTAGGTTTATGGGAGTACACTCTTTGATGTTCACACAACGATAAAATCAGCTAACGATGCATTTCTTAGAACAGATCCCCGTTGTTAAGCAGTGCATGATGCTACTTCCCTGCTTTCACCGTTTGCCCTCCTGTGATGCTACTGTTTCTGAGATGACCGAACATCTGCTTCCCCTGGAAAAGTAACAATTCCCACCTGCGGTCCCAATGTAATTATTAATAACAACACCTTGCACTCTCAGAAGTGCCTCAGTTTCTATGGTGAAGTAGATAATGACCTAACTCAAACTACTCTCTATACCACCTCAATCACACTATTGATGTTTTACATTCATTTTCTTACAACGGCTATCTCTCTGCACAGACATCATCGTTCAGCAAGTATCGACTAATTCCAAGCCCGCAAGCAAGCGTGAGGACATGAAGCAGACCTATTTCTCCACTCTATAAACCAGTTGCTCCCAAAGATCGGCAATTAATCAACTTGTCAGGGAGGCAGTGCCGTGTGGTGGGAAAATATTGATTGGCCCAGGAGTTCCAAGAGCTGTTTTTAATGTTGGTTCGGCCATTTACTAGAAGCCATTTCATTTCCTGGCTCCCCAGTAAGTGGCCTTATCTTCAAATAGAAATAACTATATATTTCTGGACTATTTTAGAGGGCTGTTTCGAGAAGCAAATGTATGTAAAAGTATTTCTAAACTGTGAACTGCTGTATCAATGTAAGGTATTCTAAATATGAAACTAGAAGACACTTGATATTCTATATTGTAATTGACATAGTTAATCCACAACAGAATTCTTGCTGATGGGAACATAGACTGTCTGAGTGCAAAGTACAAATATTTAGAAGGCATACATAATAATAATATCATATAATTAACAATATTCTTTAATAACATTGTTAAACATATAACATAATATATTCTATAGAATACATTATAGAATACATTATAATTATATGTATTATAATATTATAATTATAATACATTATAGAATACATTAATATTATATTAATATTATATAATACAATTATAGTACATTATAGAATATATTAATATTATATTAATATTATATAATATTATAATTATGATACGTTATGGAATACCTTATATTGTATTCTATAGAATACAATATATCTAATAATTCTATAGAATACACTATATCTAATAATTATATATTATATCTAATATATAATTATATCTAATAATTATTAGATACAATGTAGTCTATAGAATACATTATACATAATAATATATAGCATATTTTTATATATGTTAAAATATTAGATATTCAGAAACCAAATACATTTTCAAATTGCATACAGCATTTGAACTTTCTTGGCTGTCACTATAACTTCTGTCACAGAAAGGAATATCAGCTATAGTACATGCAATCAACCTCACCTGCGTTTTCAAAATAAAACAGCCCAGAGTCGATCTAATGTATCTGATTCAATTTTTCATCAACGGAGATCACATTTTACTTCAATTTTGTCAGCATCATGCAAAGATCACTGAGATCTTTTGTTAACAAAATGCCACCAAGTTTCATACAAACCTGACTAAAATGATGTTAAGTAGAAATGATATCCAGTAAGATACGCTTGTTTTACCCATGATGATAAACTAGTTCCTAAATGAAGGGTAGAGTGACACCAGTCTGTCTGTCTCAACCAGGAAATTATACTGTCAAATGATATATCATGGGGCTTTTAAATATTAGAATAAATACCCATAGCACTGGAGAAAGGTCGTCCAAAATAATGATAAGGTAAACTGTGGTTAATTCAGCTCCTATTGTCTAACTTATTTCTCTCACAACCCTGGGAGGCAGGTTTTATCATTTCCATTTAACAAGGAGAAATTGGCAGCTCAAAGAGACTATGCAACTTGCCCAAGATGAAACAGTGAGTAAATAGCCAAGACTCAAGTCCAACTCTGTCTGATTCCAGACCCCATCTTCTTCTCAGCAAACCACACTGCTTCTCCACATTTTCTCCCTGAACAGGTTTTTCATTTGGCCATATTAACTGCATAAACCCTTTGGAAGTATTTTCAACAAATGTCCTTGAAAAGAGTTTCTGGGCACCTGGTATTTAGAGAGGACTTTGAGAGGAGAACAGGTACCGAAGCAACGTGTTCAACTCTTGAGCCACTGAATTAATACATGGGCTGCCAAACACACCTACATAAACTTGGGACTAGATTTGTTCAAGCTTGCACATTTGGACTTCCTTTAAAAAAAAATATATACAACTTCTTGTTCTGAAAACAATGCCAATCAATTTGTAATGAGATTACAATGTTACGATAACAAGGGTAATAAATGTCCTGCCACACATTGAATCAAAGATCCATTGCATCATGGCTTAATAAGCCACTGGGGGAAAATTGCCTGGTTTCCATGATAATGAGTGGTGCTCTCATCCACACCAGAACTGTCCCGCACCAACTGCAGCCCAATTATATTGCCCTTACATTGGCCCATCCTGACCTATAGGGAGTTGGAAGCATTTACTAAATCAAGCTTGTCCAACCTGCAGCCCACAGACCACATGTGGTCCAGGGCGGCTTTGAAGGTGGCACAACACAAATTCATAAACTTTCCTAAACATAATGAAATCTTTTTGTGAGGTTTTTTTTTTTTTTTTAGCTCATCAGCTATCGTTAGTGTTAGTGTATTTTATGTGTGGCCCAAGATAATTCCTTTTCTTCTAATGTGGCCCGGGGAAGCCAAAAGATTGGACACCTTTGAATTGTACCAGTGATTACTAAGAATGAGCAGGACCTGTGCTCCAGAACTTAGGGCACACCTCCATTGCTCAAGCGGAGTGACAATTTGGGTCTATAAATGTTCCACTGATCCTGGCATTACTTTACAGCTTTGTGCTTTTATTTATTTATTTATTGAGATGGAGTCTTGCTCAGTCACCCAGGCTGGAGTGCAGTGGCGCGATCTTGGCTCACTGAGCTTTGTGCTTTTAAATAGTTCATTTGTCAAGTACCTTGGTAGTGAAATGCAGTGGACACAGTTGTATAAATCCCCTGAAGAAAACAAATTGATATACGCAATCTCCTCCCCTGGCACATAGAGGCCCATCTGTTCCAGCCGAATCTGCCAAGTCAGCAGAGTGAGTCTCGAGCCAGCCTGCATCAGCTGCCACACTTGCAGGTGTCCAGCAAGATGTCATCCACCTGCTGTCTCCAGGCTTCTCTTGCAAAACTAGGTCATAATTCGGTGTCCATTCTGAGGTCCTGTCCATTCCAGCGGATAAAATAAGCAGAATTTATTCCTCAAGAGCCAACGGCCTTTTGTGATAGGATAGATCAAGCATGTCCAACCCATGGCCTATAGGCCACATGGGGCCTGGGACAGCTTTCAAGGCAGCCCAACACAAATTCATAAACTTTCTTAAAACATTATGAGATTTTTTGCAATTTTTTTTTTTAGCCCATCAGCTATCATTCATGTTAGTGAATCTTATGTGTGGCCCAAGACAATTCTTCTCTCAATGTGGCCCCAGGAAGCCAAAAGATTGGACACCTGTGGTAGATACTCATCTGTTGGAGCTATTTTGGGGTGGGCCTTTGCTGAAAGTCAATTGGTGGCCTCCAAGATGATTCCTCAGGATGTCTGTCTGCCCAGTAGAGGAGACGGCACTTCGGTTTCAGGTCCATTTTGGTGAAATGCATCATTAACAGATAAGCAAGAACATTTAGGACAAAAGATAGCGTGCTTTAGAATGACTCTAGGAAAAATTCTCCAATTGCAAGGGGATAAAGCATTGGCCTGCACTGTTCAGGAAGAATGGGAAAACTCCTTTTCATAGAATTTAAAGCAGAAGAGTAGCTGGAGTTCTGCCAGTCCTCTCTGAGCCAGGGCATACACTGGAAAGCCTTTCATAGTCAACTCCCAGGGATCTGCGATTGTCCAGCTTTACTGAGTGGGGTCTACACTCCGTCTCTAGGAAATGTAGCCATGGTCACACCTAAGATTTGGGGTTAGCATGACTACATTTCCTAGTGACATTACTATATCTCTACAGTACTAAAATGTCCCAAAGGGCTATTATGTATCTATTATGTTTTATTATTACAAGAAACCTAAGAGGAAGGTAGGGAATGATTATAGGTTAAATGCAATAAAATATCATGAGAGATTTTATGTATGGTGCCTGGGAAAAGGGAAAAGGGAAAAGAAGAGGGGGAGCGAGCAGATAACAAAGATGGAAGTCCTAAAAGATGGCAGTCCCCCTGTGTGGCAAAGTCTCTAAAACAGCATGTACCTCCAGAATATATTATGGTAGCCAGCCTTAAACTGGACAAGCTGAAAGGGAACTGAGAGATCTCCAGTTTGTTCTCTAGTTTTCAAGACACAAGTCCATAGACAGGAAGTCATTAGGTCAAAGTCACAAGTCAGGAGACAGGCAGAGCTGAAGAAAAACACAGGTAGAATCCAAAATTCATATTCTACTGGGTTGCTTATGAAAGTTAAAAGACACAATATGTTAACATCAACTTGTCAGCCTATTTATAGCAGACCTCTGGTGATTTGAGTAGTTCGCCTCAATCTAAGGGACAAGCCAAACTGTTTGGGATGGCTTTCTTATAGACTCATAATTAAGACTCTATCCTTAGTGTACTCTTCAGCCTATTGCACTAAAGTGAATACTACTTTATGTAAGAACAGTAAGTCCATTACCAAAAAATAAAAACAAGAAAAACACATTATCACTCAATCTCCTTCATTGGTCCTATAAATCAATGCTATTTTCTGAGTCCAAGATCCATGAAAAACCTTCACTAAGTATAAACATCATAAATCATTAACTGATCATTTCCAAAAAGTGACTTTAACTCTGGCCAGGGGTAAATATTCCTGGGATTTATGTCCAATCACAAGCAAGCAGTATTATTTCAGCACATTCGACAGTAGAATTTTGAAAGGGTCATCTAAAAATAGATTCTCAATGACTGCAATGTGAAATCATGCAAACAGAACAGCAGTTGAATGTTGTGGTTTAGAGCTGCAGAGAGACCCACTGAAGCCTTGATAATGTTGTCCCCCAGCACTCAGATAGGAAGCCGACACCAGGCGGCCTTGTTGGCAGTCTGGGGAAAGGCCACACAGCAGACCTCACTGCCTGAGGAAGGCGGGGAGTATGAAGGCTTGAGAGCCCAGAGACAGACAAGGAAAAGGGAAGGAGAAATGAAGGAAGCAAAAACAAGGGAGCTAAGAGGATTTCTCGGAGCACCACCAAGCCAGAGATCTTGTCAGCGCTCTGAGAAAAAGCAGAGAGATTCCATTCATCTCTGCCTTACAGTGGGCTCTTTTGTTAGGCTTGTAGGGCTTCTCTTTTATTCATATATTACAGAGGGGGAGTTGGGATGATATGGGGAGAAAAAGGAGGTGAGAGAGAAAGAGAGGAGTGGAGAGGGGAGAAGAAGGGAAAAAAGCATTTCCTCTCCATAGAAAAAACATTTTAGGCCAGGTGCAGTGACTCATGGGAGCACTTCAGAACGTCGAGGTGGGCGGATTGCCTGAGCTCAGGAGTTGGGGACCAGCCTGGGCAACACAGTGAGACCCCGTCTCTACTAAAAATACAAAAAATGAGCCGGGCGTGGTGACAGGCACCTGTAACCCTGGCTACTTGGGAGGCTGAGGCAGAAGAATTGCTTGAACCTGGGAGAAGGAGGTTGCAGTGAGCTGGGATCATGCCACCACACTCCAGCCTGGGTGACAGAGAGAGACTCGGCCTCCAAAACAAACAAACAAACAAACAAACAAAAAAGCAAGCATTTTATTTTCACAGGGAAATGACCTAAGAAAAACTTACCTTCCCCAATCGAGAGGTTTCCCTGAAAACGTTTCCCAGGCTTCCCTGGCCCATGCAGTGCTGTGCGTGCACGCTTTCTCTCTCTCTCTCTCTCTCTCTCTCTCTCTCTCCTTCGTTGGCTAAACTTGTACCAGCCACAAGCACTGTGCCTCAGTTCATTTATTTTTTTTTCCATCTGCAAATGCAGTTCATCCCCCTGACTGGTGACGATGTTATACAATGTGCTGAAAATCTTGGAACAACATGTATTCATGGATAAAAACTCGGTCTCTAGGCGTTTCATTCCCCCGACACAGCAGCCGCTAATGCCACCACTCTAGAGTGTTTCCCATGTGCCAGCACTGTGAGGACCAATTTACACACACGGTCTCATTGGAATTTACTATATTTACACGTACAAATGTACAGCAGCCAGGGAGGAAGATTTCCCCATTCTGCAGCAAAGGAAGCTTAAATTCCAAAAAGCTAAGTGACTTGCCCAACATCCCAAAGGTAATAAATGACTGGATTGGAATCCAAATCCGCATGTGACACCAGGGTGCAGGTTATCTTAGTCTTAAATGAGATAAGATGAAGCTCTCAGAATAGCAAATCTGTTACGAGTGGGAGTTAGGGAAAAGATAAGGCGTAGTTCAGAGAAAACGAGGCACTATCTAGGTCACCACTGAGCTCACCCACTTATCTAGAGAATCAGTTATTGACTAGAAAGTGGTGTAACTGATAGTTGTCTTGAGTTGCAGGCCAGGCTTCCTCCTGACCACAGTCTAGGCCCTGAACCTCCTTAGGGCTCTTTAAATCTTAGCTCTAAAATGAGATGGTCTCTCAGGACCCTTTCAACTCCAAAAGATTCCCTTAGGATTCCCAGCAGTAACCTATTTCTGGGTATCCTGAAGCGTGTCACACGCCACCTAAAAAAGGAGGTTAGAGGAGTGAATGCAAAATGAGGTCAACAGCACCTGCGGGACTACCTGTAGGCCTCGGGAAGGTAAGGAATCCAGACATTACCCCTGACACATGGATTGGGCCCTGGCCTCAGGAAGGTAAGGAATTCGGACATTACCCCAACACATGGATCGGGCCCATTGGGTTAGTGTGCTAAGTTTCCATTGATTATATTGTAACACTAGTTGCCGTCTGTTCTGGACATTGTTGCTGTGTAACAAGCAACCCCCAAACCAGCAGTTTAAGGCAATGAATTTATTTTGCTCACAACTTTGTGGGTCAGGAATTTGGAAAGGACTCAGCTGGGCTGTCTGACTCTCATGCATGTGCATCAGCTGGGGTGACTTGGGTTGAAGGGGACCCTTTCACCATGGCTTCCTCCTCCACATACCTGGAGCCTTATGGTTTACACTTTTCCCAGCTTGGTGGTCTCAGGATATTCATACTTCTAACATGGCAAGTGGCTTCTAAAAGGTGAAGGTAAAAGCTGCCGGTCCTCTAAAGGGTAGGTCCAGAAGTAGAACAACGTTCATCATACACATCCCATTACGTAAAGTGATCACAGGGTGGCCCAGATTCAAAAGGAGGAGAAGCAGCCTCCATCGCTCCATGACGGGAGTGCTAATCTGCCACGGTGTCCCACCTTGGGATCTGACCAGGAAGGCCCCAGCCAACTGCTGGATTTGGAGAAATTGGAATGATCCAGAAATGGGAAATTGGACTGATACATAGAACTATACCCACTCAATGAGTAGGGCAGGCGCTGGGGACAGACTCCACAGTTGTAGGTGGAGGACAAGGTATTTTTACCTGCCAGGCATCCATGATCCATCCAGCTTTCTTCTGATAACAGCACGTTGGGGAAACTTACTGCCTCAGCTCTCCATCCATGGGATTTGGGTAGAGGACCAATTTTACTCCTGGAATGTGTGACTTGGGCCTGACCAATTATCATCAGTGCCTGGCATATAGTAAGTGTTCATGATGAATGAATGAATGAATGAATGAGCGAATAAAGGGAAAATATTTCATTTCCCAGACCACAAGAATTGTTTTAGGGATAGATACATAATTCAAGTTCTACAACTTGTGCTAGAAAGAGGTATTCTCTTTATGCTGAACTTGGAGTTGTGGGCATGTATTCCTAAAGCCAATGAGAGACACCGTGAAGTGAATCCCTGCAGGAGACTGGAGCTGGCCCAGGGGAAAGAAAAGCCGAGACACAGAAGGAGCAAGACAGAGTCCTGATGGCACTGTTTGACATCCAACTATCTCTAGTTGGTCTATCCCCTGGATTGTTTGCTTGAATGGCTGAAATTTATGCACTGACAACATCAAATTGCGGAGAAGATATAGAGCAACAGGAATGCTCATTCACTGCCTGTGGGAATGCAAAATGATACAGCTACTTTGAAAGACAGTGTGGCAATTTCTTACAAAGCTAAACATAGGCTTACCATATGATCCAGAAATCATGGTCCTTGACATTTACCCAAATGAATTCACACAAAAACCTACACGTGAATGTTTATAGAAGCGATATTCATATTCGCCAAAACTTGGAACCAACCAAGATGTCCTTCAATAGGTGAATGAATAAACACACATGTGGAACATCCAGACAATGGCCCATTATTCAGGTATAAATAGAAATGAGCTATCAAGGCACAAAAAGACATGGAGGAACACTAAATGCATATTGCTAAGTGAAAAGCCAGTCTGAAAAGGATACATACTGTATGATTCCAACTTTATGACATGTTGGAAAACGCAAAACTATACAGACAATAAAATGATCAGTGGTGGCCATTGGGGTACGGGGGAAGGAGACATAGGTGGAGAACAGAGATTTTAGGGCAGTGAAACTATCCTATATGATACTGTCATGGTGGAAAAGTGACTTTCTGAATTTTTTAAAACCCATATAACTATACAACACAAAGAGCTAACCCTAATGCGTATATGGGCTTTAGTTAATAATAATGAACTAATATTGTTTCCTCAATTGTAATCAATGTACCACATCAATGCAAGATGTTAAAAATAGGGAAAACTGTGTGCACAGGGAGGGGACAGTAAGAGGGGATTATGGAGGCACTCTGTACCTTCCTTCAATTTTCCTATAAACCCAAAACTGCTCTAAAAAACAAAGTCTATTTTTAAAATGAGCTAGACAGAGTCCTGATGATATCATTTGTTATGCAGCTGTGCCTAAAAATAGTCTAGCCCCTGGACTATTCAGCTGCAAGTCAATACATCCTCTTTTTAGCTTAAGCAAGTGTGGGTTCATTTTCTGTCACTTGTGATCAAAAATGTTCTGTTAAGTGTTAAAAGTAAATCCAGTTTGGCGGCCAGGAAACGATGTGTGAAAACTACAACAGGACCTGATTGGGCCCTGAGAACAGTCAACAGGTGACATTAGGATTTTCCAACAAGCAGACAGCACTGGGATGGGGCTCCCCATGGCTTTGGGAGTCAGAGGAGTGGCTGGCAAGATGACAGCCAGAATCAGGGTACCAGGTGAGGGTTTGGGGGCAGGAACCTGGGCTACAGAAAGAGGAATGAAAAGAGCGAGGCAGGAGCTGAGATATTGAGCAGATTGTCAAGACAATCTGCTCAGGAAACAGGTAAAACCAGAAAGGAGTAAGGCTTGGAGTGTCAGACTAGTGAGGCCTAAAGCCAGGCACCTGGAAGAAGAGGGAGAGTTAGCCCATAAGGGGCTTGTTTGCCCCACCTGAGAGCAAGAAGAGAGGAGGGCAAGAGAGGAGCCCCGTGTTTTAGGCCAGAGAGAGAGCATCCACTAAGGTCACCGCACCAGCCTACGAAGAAGTCTTTGAGGGAAAGCAGCACTGAGTGGAGAAAAGTGTGAATCCCTGCATCTCCAGGAGGGATGGAGGATACCCTCTGCCCAGCCAAACACTGACCCCAGATCTGAGCCCCAAGGGGAGTCTGTTTTAAATACCTTTCTTGAAAACCCACCAATTCCTTCAAATCCAGTCACCAGCACTGTTATTTTTTTCTTATGTTACATGTGACAAAATGGTGTTATTCTTCCTCTCCTCGACTTTCCATGCATAACTCCCTTTTTTTTTTTTTTTTTTTTTTTGAGATGGAGTCTCGCTCTGTCGCCCAGGCTGGAGTGCAGTGGTGCAATCTCGGCTCACTGCAAGCTCCGCCTCCTGGGTTCACGCCATTCTCCTGCCTCAGCCTCCACAGGCACCCGCCCCCACACCAGGCTAATTTTTTTGTATTTTTAGTAGAGACGGGGTTTCTACTAAACCCCATGTTAGCCAGGATGGTCTCGATCTCCTGACCTCGTGATCCACCCACCTCGGTCTCCCAAAGTGCTGGGATTACAGGCATGAGCCACCGCGTGCGGCCAACTCCCTAACTTTCTGAATAAATTTTGCCCATGAATTAACAAGTGCTACAGAATTAGCTGCAGGTAATATTTCCACAGGTGTTTGGGGATTTTTGTTTGTTTTTTGTTTTGTTTTGAGAAAGGGTCTTGCTCTCTGGCCCAGACTGGAGTGCAGTGGCAAAATCATGACCCAACTCACTGTAGCCTCAACCTCCTGGGCTCAAGCAGTCCTCCCACCTTGGCCTCCTGAGTAGTTGGGACTACAGGTGCATGCCACCACACCCAGCTCATTTTTTTTTTTTTTGTAAAGGCAAGGGTCTCACTATGTTGCCCAGGCTGGTGTCGAACTTCTGGTCTCAATCAGTCCTCCCACCTCTGCCTCCCAAAGTGCTGGGATTACAGGTGTGAGCCACCACACCTGGCTCAGTGTATGTTTTGATGTCAGATGATGCTAACAAAGTACATTATTAATGCTGCTTGCAGTGGGCTTACTGAGATCAGCAATCACTGTCTGTTTGTTCACTGATGAACTGAAAGCAGTGTCTGGGGTAGGGTAGCTACTCACTAAATATTCGTGAAATGCCTGCTGGATGAGTTATTTCTCTTTTCCTCCTTGGCTGAGATGAAGGGAGAGAAAGACAAGAGTGACAGTGGATTGCATGCATTCAAAGACCAGTATCTGCCTGGCAAGAAGATGCTGGAGAGGTAGTAATGGCCATATTTCATATTTTAGCAATTCCACTGTGGATTCAATATCTCCCCTTAGCTCCTGCCCTATCTTGTTTCTTCTTTTTCATAATCAAGCTTCCTGAAGAATATTCTGCACTTCTTATCTCCACTATTTGACTTTCCTTCTCTCCTTTACTTACTGTAATCTTCCTGGCCACCACTCCACTGCGACAACTCTCACAAAGGTCACCAATGACGTCTTTCCACCAAGATCAAATGCACACATTTTAATCTCTGTGTTTCTTGGTCTTCCTACTTCCTCTTTGAGTTCTCTCTTCTGTATGCTTTCAGTCTTCTGGCTTTCTTCCCACCTCTGTTAATTTGACCCTTCTCAGTTCCTTCACTGGCATTAGATGGTCTCTCATTGTGGTTTTGATTTACATTTCTCTAATGATCAATGATGTTGAGCTTTTTTTCATATGTTTGTTGGCTGCATGTATGTCTTCTTTTGAGACGTGTCTGTTCATGTCCTTTGCCCACATTTTAATGGTTTTTTTCTTGTAAATTTAAGTTCCTTGTAGATTCTGGATATTATAGCTTTGTCAGATGGATAGATTGCAAATTTTTTCTCCCATTCTGCAAGTTGTCTGTTTGCTCTGATGATAGTTTCTTTTGCTGTGCAAAAGCTCTTTAATTAGATCCCATTTGTTAATTTTCACCTTCGTTGCAATGGCTTTTGATGTTTTCATCATGAAATCTTTGCCCGTGCCTATGTCCTAAATGGTATTGCATAGATTTTCTTCTAGGGTTTTCATAGTTGTGGGTTTTACATTTAAGTCTTTAATCTATCTTGAGTTAATGTTTGTATAAGATATAAGGAAGGGGATCCAGTTTCAATTTTCTGCATATGGCTAGCCAGTTCTCCCAGCACCATTTATTAAATAGGAAATCATTTCCCCATTGCTTGTTTTTGTCAGGTTTGTTGAAGATCAGATGGTTGTAGATGTGTGGACTTATTTCTGAGATCTCTATTCTGTTCCATTGGTCTATGTGTCTGTTTTTGTACCAGTACCATGATGTTTTGGTTACTGTAGCCTTGTAGTATAGTTTGAAGTCAGGTAGCATGATGCCTCCAGCTTTGTTCTTTTCACTTAGATTGTCTTGGCTATATGGGCTCTTTTTTGGTTCCATATGAATTTTAAAGTATTTTTTTCTAATTCTGTGAAGAATGTCAATGGTAGTTTAATGAGAATAGCACTGAATCTATAAATTACTTTGGGCAGTATGGTCATTTTCACAATATTGATTCTTCCTATCCATGAATATGGAATGTTTTTCCATTTGTTTGTGTTCTCTCTGATTTCTTTGGGCAGTGGTTTGTAGTTCTCCTTGAAGAGGTCCTTCCCTTGTTAGCTGTAGTCCTAGGTATTTTATTCTTTTTGCAGCAATTGTGAATGGGAGTTCATTCATGATTTGGCTCTCTGCTTGTCTATTGTTGGTGCATAGGAATGCTTGTGATTTTTGCACATTGATTTTGTATCCTGAGACTTTGATGAAGTTGCTTATCAGCTTAAGGGGCATTTGGGTGGAGACAATGGGGTTTTTTAGATATAGGATCATGTCATCTGCAAACAGAGACAGTTTGACTTCCTCTCTTCCTATTTGAATACCTTTATTTCTTTCTCTTGCCTGATTGCCCTGACCAGAACTTCCAATACTATGTTGAATAGGAATGGTGAGAGAGGACATCCTTGTCTTGGGCCAGTTTTCAAGTGGAATGCTTCCAGCTTTTGCCCATTCAGTATAACATTGGCTGTGGGTGTCATAAATGGCTCTTAGTGTTTTGAGGTATGTCCCATCAATACCTAGTTTATTGAGAGTTTTTAACATGAAGAGATGTTGACTTTTTTTGAAGGCCTTTTCTGTGTCTATTGTGATAATCATGTGGTTTTTGTCTTTAGTTCTGTTTTTGTGATGAATTACATTTATTGATTTGTGTATGTTGAACCAGCCTTGCATCCCAGGGATGAAGCCAACTTGATCATGGTGGTCAAGCTTTTTGATCTGCTGCTGGATTTGGTTTGCCAGTATTTTATTGAGAAGTTTTACATTGATGTTCACCAGGGATATTGGCCTGAAGTTTTCAATTGTTTGGAATTGTTTCAGGAGAAATGGTACAGCTCCTCTTTGTACCTCTGGTAGAATTCAGCTGTAAAACTGTCTGGTCCTGGGTAGTTCTTTGTTTGTTTTTTGTTTTTGTTTGTTTGTTTTTATTTTTGTTTTTGGTTGGTAGGCTATTTATTATTGCCTCAATTTCAGAACTTGTTATTGGTCTATTCAGGGATTTGCCTTCTTCCTGGTTCAGTCTTGGGAGGATATATGTGTCCAGGAATTTATCAATTTCTTCTAGATTTTCCAGTTCATTCGCATAGAGGTGTTTATAGGATTCTCTGATGGTTGTTTGCATTTCTGTGGGGTCAGTGGTGATATCCCCTTTATCATTTTTTATTGTCTATTTGGTTCTTCTCTCTTTTCTTCTTTGTTAGTCTAGTTAGTGGTCTATTTCATTATTTTTTTTCAAAAAACCAACTCCTGGATTTGCTAATTTTTTGAAGGGTTTTTCATGTCTCTATCTCCTTCAGTTCCTCTCTGGTCTTGGTTATTTCTTGTCTTTTGCTAGTTTTGGGGTTTGTTTGCTCTTGGTTCTCTAGTTCTTTTCGCTGTGATGTTAGGATGTCAGTTTGAGATCTTTCTAGCTTTTTGATGTAGGCATTTAGTTCTATAAATTTCTCTCTTAACACTACTTTAGCTGCATCCCAGAAATTCTGGTATATTGTCTTTTTGTTCTTATTGGTTTCAAAGACCTTCTTGATTTCTGCCTTAATTTCATTATTTACCCAGGAGTCATTCAGGAGCAAATTGTTCGATTTCCATGTAGTTGTGTGGTTTTGAGTGAGTTTCTTAATCTTGAGTTCTAATTTGTCTGCTCTTTGGTCTGAGAGACTGTTTATTATTATCTCTGTTATTTTGCATTTGCTGAGGAGTATTTTACTTCCAATTATGTGGTTGATTTTAGTGAGTGCCATGTGTTGCTGAGAAGAATGTATATTCTCTTCTTTTTGAGTGGAGAGTTCTGTAGATATATATCAAGTCCACTTAATCCAGAGCTGAGTTCAGGTTCTGAATAACCTTGTTAATTTTCTGTCTCAATGATCTGCCTAATATTGACAGTGGGGTGTTAAAGTGTCCCATTATTATTGCGTAGGAGTCTAAGTCTCTTTGTAGGTCACTAAGAACTTGTTTTATGAATCTGGGTGCTCCTGTATTGAGTGTATATATATATATGATAGCTCTTCTTGTTGAGTTGATCCCTTTACCACCATTATGAATGCCTTTCTTTGTCTTTTTTGATCTTTGTTAGTTTAAAGTCTGTTTTGCCAGAAACTAGAATTGCAACCCTGCTTTTTTCTGGTTGTCATTTGCTTGATAAATTTTCCTCCATCCCTTTATTTTGAGCCTATGTGTGTCTTTGCATGTGAGATAGGTCTCTTGAATCAGCACACCAATGGGTTTTGACTCTTTAGCCAGCTTGCCATTCTGTGTCTTTTAATTGGGGCATTTAGTCCATTTACAATTAAGGTTAATATTGTATGTGTGGATTTGACCCTGTCATCATCATGCTAGCTGGTTATTTTGCAGACTTGTTGAGTAGTTGCTTCATAGTGTCACTGTTCTTTGTATTTCAGTGAGTTTTTGCAGTGGCTAGTAATGCTTTTTCCTTTCCATATTTAGTGCTTCCTTCAGGAGCTCTTGCAAGGCAGGCCTGGTGGTGATGTATTTCCTCAGCATTTGCTTGTCTGAAAAGGATTTTATTTCTCCTTTGCTTATGAAGCTTAGTTTGGCCAGATATAAAATTCTGGGTTGGAAATTCTTTTCTTTAAGAATGTTGAATATTGACCCCCAATGTCTTTTGACTTGTTGGGTTTCTACTGAGAGGTCCACTGTCAGTCTGATGGGCTTCCCTTTGTAGGTGACCTGACCTTTCTCTCTGGCTGTCCTTAACATTTTTTCTTTCATATCAACCTTGGAGAATCTGATGACTGTGTGTCTTAGGGTTGATCTTCTCATGGAGTATCTTACTGGGGTTCTCTGAATTTCCTGAATTTGAATGTTGATCTATCTTGTCAGGTTGGGGAAGTTCTGGATGATATCCTGAAGTATGTTTTCCAACTTGGTTCTATTCTCCCCGTCTCTTTCAAGTACCCCAGTCAGTCGTAGGTTTGGTCTTTTTACATAATCCCATCATTCTTGGAGGTGTTGTTCATTCCTTTTCATTCTTTTTTCTCTGATAGTGTCTGCCTGTCTTATTTCAGCAAGATAGCCTTTAAGCTCTGAAATTCTTTCCTCTACTTGATCAATTTGGCTATTGATACTTGTGGTTGCATTATGATGGTCTTGTGTTGCGTTTCTCAGCTCCATCAGGTCATTTATGTTCCTCTCTAAACTGGTTATTCTGGTTAACAGCTCCTGTAATATTTTATCGTGGTTCTTAGCTTCTTTGCATTGGGTTAGAACATGCTCCTTTAGCTCAGCAAAGTTCATTATTACTCGCCTTCTGAAGCCAACTTCTGTCAATTCATACATCTCAGCCTCTGCCCAGTTCTGTGCTCTTGTTGGAGATGTGTTGTGATCATTTGGAGAAGAGGCACTCTCATTTTTGAGTTTTCAGTATTTTTTATTGCTTCTTTCTCATCTTTGTGAGTTTATCTAGCTTCAATCTGTGTGGCTGCTGGCTTTTGGATGGAGTTTTGTAAGGATTTTTTTGTTGATGCTGTTGTTGTTGTTGTTGCTTTCTGTTTGTTTTTCTTTTACCATTCAGGCCCCTCTTCCATAGGGTGGCTGCAGTTTGCTGGGGGTCCACTCCAGATCCTATGCATCTGGGTTCCTCCCACACCTGGAGGTGTCACCAGTGGAGGCTGCAGAACCACAAAGATGGCTGCCTGCTCCTTCCTCTGGGATCTCTGTCTCAGAGAGGCACCAAGCTAATGCCAGCAGGAACACTCCTGTATAAGGTATCTGGCAACCCCTGTTGGGGGTGTCTCACCCAGTCAGGAGGCACAGGATCTGGGACCCAATTAATGAAGCACTCTGGCTGCCCCTTGGTGGAGGGGGTGCACTGTACCCCAAAGAGTCTTCATAATCTTCAGAATAAAATTCAAACTCCTCAGCAAGCCATGCAAAGCTCTTATGATCCATCTCTGCCTGTCCCTCCATCCCCAGCCCACCAAGTTCCTTGCAACCACATGCAGCTACAGTGAAGTTCTTCTTCCTGAAACACACTCACCCTCCTTTGCCCTGGCAATTCCCAATTATCCTTCAAGATTCAATTTATGTGTTGCCTCCTCTGATGAGGTGGCTCAGTGCATACTTCTATCAAAGCACTTACTGTACCATTCTAATTTTGTTTACTTGTCTATTTTAGCAACTAGATTGTGGGCTACTTAAGAAGAAAGTCATTTCTTCTATCTCTATATTTTCAGAAGTAATCACAGTGCCTGGCTTGTAATAAGTGCTCAATAAATGTACGTTGAAAGAATGAGTGAATGTCCTCAAGTTGGGAAGCAGCACATGGGGGTCAAGGTCAGCTCTAATAGAGGGTAGTGGACATCTGTCATTCTTTTTGGCCACCTAGTATCTGAACTTTCCTTCTATGTCTATGGAATTCCTCGCTTTGAGTTTCAGGAGGAAGCAGAGCCTACCTCCCAATCTAGATGCTGATGATATCAGTAGCTAACTAGTCCCATCTTTCCTGTATCTGTGGCATTAGCTCTGACCTGACTTCTTACAATCTGAGGTATGTCCCCACCCCAAGACTGAATGGGAAGCTAGCAGCTTAAAGTAGAAGAACTGGAAACAGTGGCCACTAAGCAAATTTGCATTCTTGGCCCGACAACAGTGGTCTGGTGTTGCCAGCCAGCAGAATCAGAGGACCAGGCTGCAGCCTCTGAGGTCAAAGTTGCAGCAGAGCGGTCACCAGGCTGGGTCTGCAGCAGTCTGGGGTGTGGTCCCTGGATGTCAGCCCAGAGCCTAATTCTCCAGTGTCCTGGTGACTCCATTTCTATTGCTTGCAACTACAAACCCTGACTAATACCGAGAGGTTTTGAAGGTACAGCTTGTCACCAAGATGTAGCACAACGAAAACCAGGTAAAATTCCAGGGCCCTCAAGGCCTGAGCAACCCCCAGAGGGACCATGTGGCCTCCTTGCTTAAGCGCCCACTGGCCTGGATTTTACCCACTTCTTCCTCAAAGCAGGGTGTAAGAATAGATCTGATTATACCTTTGGGATCTAGAGTAACTTTCCTTTAAAATAAGAAAAAGAGCCAGAATGCTTCTCGTAGAGCCCAAGCCTCTGTGTTCTCTGGTGTGCTCGGAGTTCAGCACCAGATGAGACAATCCAAGGGCTGCGAGAGGCTGGAGCTTAGTGCCAGCCACCCTTTCCGGAAGGGATGAATTGCCAAGGTGGAAAGGCTATGTTTATAAGCCAGGAAACAATGCCACTTAGAAGAAACAAAAACCCAGACTGTGTGATCTGCCAGACTCTTAAAAGCCAGCTTGTCTGAGGATCCAGGGCCTGATTGAGACTCTGAGGGGTGACTGCCGGATGGAAGGCTGTGCCCTCCGTGTGACCTAATGCACTGTCAGCTCCGCCCCACCAGTGAGGTCCTCCTTCCCCTTCCCCCTCTCAATCAATCTGGCAGTGCCTTGTTCCTTCTTCCTGGCTAAAATCTACTCAGCATATCAAAGCTAGAATGTGAGTTCATCCATTTACTAAAACACATACTTCATTATATAATAATTTCCCCTGGCCCTAGCACCCTTTCTCCCTGGTCAAATGAATAATGTAACAGCCTTACTAGAACCAAGTCATGACCAAAGTTCACATCCCAGCCACAGCGAGGCCTTCGCAGAGATGGGAACCGAGCCAGCAGCCCAGGAGCTGCTTATTCCATATCCCTCTATCTGGACCATCTCTCCCCATTGCCCTCTTCCATCCCAGGGAGCAGGGGCACCATCCTCCCTACCATCCCGCTGAAGTCCCTAAAATTGCCAGCAACCATGTCTTTTGAGAAAAGGCACAGTTCCAAAACCACATTATGCCAACACAAATGTGTTATGGAGGGGTCATGAGAGCCACTAGCACGTCCACAAAGAGTTCTTGAGAGAATGAAACCTAAGGTCAGAAACAGGGAAGGAAAGATAGGTCTAATCCCACCTGGGAACGCCAGGAAGGCTGCCATGCAGGAGGCACCTCAGAGGCCATCTTGAAGAGCGAGGGGGTGGGGCCTAAGGCACCTGGGAACTCCGGAAGTTGGAAGCGAACAGCTCCAGCGAGGAGGGCACCAGGAAAAAATCACCCTGGGCCAGAAGAACAATATGGAGGCAAAGCCAGGATGAAAACCCATTGGTAGCATCCTCAAGGCTTTCTTATGGAAGAAGAATTGCTCTCACCCACAAGCGTCTTCTAAAGGTATCCCCAGAGACAACTGCCTGTGGCTAAAGCCAAGACTTGGGGCATGGGGTGTCTTTGGAAACCAGGGGAGCCACATCGTAACGGAAAGACATAAACATAGAACTCCCTAGAAAAGCATTTTTTTAAAGCACTGCAAGCCGAGCATGGTGGCTCAAGCCTGTAATCCCAGCACTTTGGGAGAGCAAGGTGGGTGGATCATTTGAGGTCGGGAGTTCAAGACCAGCCTGGCCAACATGGTGAAACCCTGTCTCTATTAAAAATACAAAAATTAGCTGGGCGGGATGGTGCACACCTGTAATCCCAGCTACTCGGGAGCCTGAGGCGGGAGAATCGCTTGAACCCGGGAGGGGGAGGTTGCAGTGAGCTGAGATCACGCCACTGCACTCCAGCCTGGGCAACAGAGTGAGACTCTGTCTCAAAAACAATAAAATAGCACTGCAAAGCTATCAAAGGCAACACCGTTCTAGTCTCAGTTGGATATGTGGCTCATGCCTGTAACCCTGGCACTCTGGGAGGCTGAGATGGGGGAATTGCTTGAGCCTAGGAGTTTGAGACCAGCTTGGGTAACACAGTGAGATGCTGTCTCTACAAAAAAATTTTAAAAATTACCTGGGTGGTGCATGCTTCTAGACGGGAAGGGGGCTCCAAGGGTGGCTTCTTGGAGAGGGATGGGACAGAGTGGGGACCTGAAGGCTGTGGGGTGCATGGGCAGATGCTGGACACCCCTCAGGGTACCATGAGGAATCAGGGGTGGGCACGATGGGGGAGCTTGGCCTCCAGCTTTTTCACTCTTGTTCCAGTTCAGCAATCAGGAGCAGACCTGCCCAAGGCATGGTTTCCATGGTGGCACATCTGGGAGGGGCCTGGCCCCATGTGCTGTTGACATCCGCTAGGTAATGAGGAGGAAGCACATGGGCCCCAGCTGGGCAGATGGGCTCTGCACATCTGCTGCCTCCCTTCCTCATTAGGGTCCCAGGGGAGCGGCGGAATCCAGACACAAAGACCCCACCCCAGCCTCCCCAAGGAGGATGCACACATGGGTTTCCAATGCAACTCTTCATTATTAAAACGAGAGGACGTTTTGGGAAAATGTTTGATGTTTGTACAATTTCTCATACACAGCCCTTGTCCTGCCAGGAGCTAAGTGTGCTTGGACCATACAGCATGGCCTGTGCTTGCTTTTGTGAGCAGAACAGTCCAGCTGGGAAACCACCACTGAGAAGGGGAGTCTGAAAACCTAGGCTGTTCGAAGCACTGGGCAGAGCTCCCAGGGAAGACAAGTTGAATAGAGTGAACTTATATGGGATTTTTTTCTTTTTTTTCTTAGAGACAGGGTCCAGCTCTGTCACCCAGGCTGGAGTGCAGTGATGTGATCAGAGCTCATTACAGCCTTTACCTCCTGGGCTAAAGCGATCCTCCAACTCAGCTTCCCAAAGTGATGGAAATTACAGCCGTGAGCCACTACTCCCGGCCTCCTTATAAGGAAATTATTTGAAAAAACTGTGAGGAGTCCTGGGATCCCCAGAGATCTATCGACCCTACACAGCTGCTTCTAGAGTTGACTCTGTGTTCCGCAAGAGCTGCAGGGCCAAGAGCTTGAGGAAGTGCCAGGCTGCTGAGAGAAGGTTGTAACGCACCGAGACTGAAGCCCAGGCCTGGGCTTCCACTTCCGCCTCCAAAGGAGGTAAAGGGCTGGGAACAAGACCAGTGAGTTTCCCAAATGGCTGGGAAGGTGAGAAGTTTGCAAAATGAATGAAGGGAATCAGAAAATAGGTTTAATCCATGGCACCTCCCTTGCTCTGGGTTTCTGGTGTTTTTGAAATACCCACTGGTTTCCCTATTGTGATATTTACTGGGCCAAGGAGGATTTTTTTCCATTTCAGACTGATGTCACTCCCAGCCTGTTGGTTTCCCAATATCCCATCTGCTGAGGCAGCAGACTCCCGCAGGGAGCCTAAGCCATGGGCTGTGGCCAGAGAGACAGGCAATCCATCCTTCCTGTTTGTGCTCAGCCTGGAAAGTGAAGCCTGGAAAAAGGGACTCAACCAATCTCCCTGACTTGAGGGCTTCTCCCCTTTTGCCCCTCACTCACCTCTTTGCAGTGTGATCATCTCTGAGCCTCCCTCCAGGGAGGAAGGACAGAGTGCCTGGAAGGCATCCAGCTTTGCAGTTTCTCGATCCTGTACCCTGAGAGGTTTCCCTATCCCATTCTACCAGCAAAACATTCAGACGAGTGTTTTGCTTCTTTTCTGGGAGGTAGTCCAGATACAAAGACATATAGGTTCTAGTAAACCTCGGTTGTGAATAAGAAGAGTTTTAGTATAGGACGCAAACTGTCAATCCTGATGTAAGTGAACCACGCTGTGGAGTTTAATCGCATCGTGTATGTGGGACCTCTGTGTGGGAAAGAATCTGTTGGCGACTATAAGATGAATGCATCAGACTCATAAAAGCTGGCCAGGTTTGGTGGTTCACACCTGTAATCCCAGCAGTTTGGGAGATGGAGCCAGGTGGCTTGCTGAGCCACAGGAGTTCAAGACCAGCCTGGGCAATGTGGCGAGACCCCATCTCTACAAAAAATACAAAAATTAGCCGGGTGTGGTGGCACATGCCTGTGGTCCCAGCTACTTTGGAGGCTGAGGCCAGAGGACTGCTTTAGCCAAGGAGGTTGAGGCTACAGTGAGCTGTGATCACACCACTGTACTCCAGCTTGGGCAACAGAGCAAGACCCTGTCTCAAAAAAAAAAAAAATGACTCATAAAAGCTTAGCCATTCAAATAGCACATTGTATAAGAGAAATGCCAAGACTGAGTAATTTTATCCACTAAGTATAATTTTAATAAAGTATCAGTGTTCCCAAAGTACAAAGCTGACCCTCTAAAGTTTCTAGCTCAAAAGCTATTTATGGCATTACCAAAAAGATGGTAAAAAGAGTGATCGTAGTTGTCAGTGTGTAGACACACACAGACACAAACACAACACACAGAAACACAGGCAGAGCACACACGCATGTTCACACTGCACACAAAGGTATACACTCAGAAACACACATACATATCAATACACACATAAAAAGTTTTTATGATCACCCTTTTCCCAACAACCCAAGCTCTGCCACTGGCTCCTAACCAGGATAGCAATGGTGACAAGGAGTGATGGATGGGAGCTTAAAACCCCGTTACATCAAAGCCGTGAAGATTAGATTAAAAACCAAGCTCTCCCTCTCTATCCCAACACCTTCATCATGGGAGGTCTTCCTCAAACTTGCTGATGCTCAAGTGAAATTCACAATATACAGGAAGAACTTCTAGATTTTACCAGAGAGCACCAGTGTAATTATCTGGTGCTTAGTTAACTCCCAAAGTGAAATCGAGCTCATCTTTTTCAGTTTTCCTCAGATCCATTATGTTTGTTGTGTGTAGATGGTTGGGAAGGAAATAAGGGGAAAGGAATGAAATAAAAAGTTAAGGGTAAATGTTTCCATGACTGACTTTTGTTTACTTCAATTTTTTACTTCACATCTGTTCTTCCATGAGAATGATAAATTTTACTGTTTCTCAAAGAAGAGAAGAAAATATGCTTAACATTTCCATTTTAGTAACCAGAGAAAGTATTTTATGATTTGTTTCCCCAAATTTCAACATCTTCCCCCCACCTATATAAAATATAACAAATACTATGGCTAAAAAAAAAATCTTGAATCCAACTAACCAATTTTTTATATCATAGATGAAAAGTCTTTTTTTTCTTTTTTTTTTTTTTTTGAGACAAAGTCTTGCTGTCACCCAGGCTGGAGTGCAGTGGCACCATCTCAGCTCACTGCAACTCCTGCCTCCTGGGTTCAAGCGATTCTCCCCACTCATCCTCCCTAGCAGCTGGGATTACAGGCATGTGCCACCATGCCTGGCTAATTTTTGTATTTTTGGTAGGGACAGGGTTTTGCCATGTTGGCCAGACTGGTCTCAAACTCCTGACCTCAGGTGATCCACCCGTGTCAGCCTCCCAAATTGCTAGGATTACAGGCGTGAGCCACCTTGCCCGGCCACCAGTGAAAATTCTTAAAGGGAAAATGAATCCAAATAATTTGTGAAATGCATCTGCAGGGGTCGTGGAGCCTCTTCTGAGTCCACGGTGCCCCTGTCCTGCTGAATGGCAATGTGCTATGGGAAAGACTTCGTCACTCCCAGCTCCAGAGGTGAGACCTGACTTGACTAATCCAAGCAGAGTGGTCTTATCCCTTAAACACGAGGACAACAGAAGAAAGTCCATGAGTTTTTCTATGGTTGGAAAAGGAATGTGCCCTCTCCCTGCTCATCTCTCTCTTCCAGCTGAACGAGGATGTGATGATCTAAAACCCTCAGAACTACTGGCAGCCATGTGGCCAGCAAGAGGGGAGTCAGCTTCTAAAGGGAGCTGACATCGTGAAAAGCAGAGGCCACGTGGAAGGAGCTGGTCTTCGGTGCCATCTTTGAGCCACTGCATCAAGCCACTGTGATGCCTGCCCTGACTCTGGCCTTTTCAGTAACAGAAGCTGTACTTTTCTTAGTCGTTTGAGCTGTGATTTGTGCCTGTAAGATGCAGATGCACCTTGATAGGTACAGCACATCTGCTGTGTTTCTGCAACCATACGGATAATTTTATTTTCCTTATTGCAATCCATTACATCCTGAATATTCACAAACATCTTTCCTTTTAAAATTATCAAGTCAAAGATAAAATACAGACCTGGGGAAAATGAAAAGTAGTTCTTAACACCAAGCTTGGATTTGATTCCTAACTGCGTTTCTGAGGTCATCTCTGCTTACCAGGGCCAGGAATTGAGTCAAGAGCTGCTTTAATGGCAGTTTAATTTACCTGACAATATTTTCATTGCCAGAGAAAAGCATATTTTAGATGAATAGAAACTTAAAAACCAACCAGTTGAGCCAAGTCATAAACATAGTAGTTTCATGACTTGACACTTCTGTGGAGTATTTAACACCAACCATGGTCTAAATGAAACTTAAAATAATTCAAGGGTCCTGGAGAAATCTATTTTGAGCATGAACAAGTCCCATTAGGTAGCAGGCCAGGGTTGGGTATAGGAGAGTAGAACTACCAGCCATAGAATCAAAAGTAAGATTCCCCACCTGAGGTCAGGAGTTCAAGACCAACCTGGCCAACATGGTGAAACCCCATCTCTACAAAAATACAAAAATTAGCTGGGCATGATGGTGGGTGCCTGTAATCCCAGCTACTCAGGAGGCTGAGATGGGAGAATTGCTTGAACCTGGGAGGCAGAGGTTGTGTGAGATTCTGTCTCAAAAAAAAAAAAAAGAAAAAAGAAAAGAAAGTAAGATTCCCCAGGCAAAGGCTCTGTAGACACCATGCTACACACCATCATCCTCAATTTAATCCTGTCAATCAATTCCCTTGTAACTATTCTCTCTAGAAATCTCACCATTGATTCCTTTTTCATCCATCCTTCTCCAGAGAACACCTTTTCACTCACCGAAACGAAACTCAGCACAAAATCCATAATCACAAGGTGTTTATATCTTTAAGATGATGAGGAAAGAACTCAGGACACTGAATTATCATGAAAGGCTCCAAATTTTAGAGACAAATGTGACATCATTGCCTTAGAAACTTCTTATCTACACCCCATCCCCAAATTTTCAGAAGAGTAAATTTTACTCTGAAAGTTTAAGAGATGAGCTCAATATCCATTGAGCACGTTGGTGGGGGACTAAAGCTCAGGCTTTTCTGACTCCAAAACCCAATAAATATACACTACTATATATTTGTTTATGTGTCTGACTGTCCCACCAGACTGTGAAAAATTTAAGGGCAGGGGCTCTTTTTTTCCTTTTTATCTATTATGATTGGCACCTAGAGCAGGCCCTGGCACATAGGAAGAGCTTAATAAATGTTTATTGAACAAATTAAAGGATGGATCAATAAAATCAAAATCAGGGGGAGCTTTATGGTATAGTGCCTTCATATATTCTTCTCACTTAATCTGTTTAATATTGTGAATATTTCTGTGGCCCATTCATTATTCTACAAATTGATGAAAATATTAATAAATTAATTCTCTTCATCAAACTCTTTGTGATAGTCTTGGGTGTCAATTTGGCTAGGGCACAGTACCTAGGTATTTAATCAAACACGAATCCAGGAGTAGCTGTGAAAGTATTTTGTAGATATGGTTAACATCTACAATCAGCTGACTTTAAATAAAGCCTTGATCGTGTGGGTGGGCCTCATCCAATCATTCAATGGCTTTAAGAAGAAAGACTGGGGTTTCCCAACAAAAAAGGATTCTGCCTCAAGACTGCAGCATCCAGCGAGGTTGTGGAGAAAAGGGAATGCTTATCCACTGATGGTGGGTGTGTAAATTAGTTCAGCCATTGTGGAGGACAGTGTGGTGATTCTTCAAAGACTTAAAGACAGAAATACCATTTAACCCAGCAATCCCATTACCGGGTATACACCCAAAGGAATACAAATTGTTCTACCATAAAGGCATGCATGCGTATGTTTATTGCAACACTGCTCACAATAGCAAAGACATGAAATCAACCTAAATGCCCATCAATGATAGACTAGATAAGAAAATGTGGTATATATGCACCATGGATTACTATGCAGCCATAAAAAGAAACGAGATCATGTCATTTGCAGGGACATGGATGGAACTGGAGGCCATCATTCTTAGCAAACTAACACAAGAACAGAAAACCAAATATCGTGTGTTCTTACTTATAAGTGGGAGCTAAATGATGAGAACACATAGACACACAGAGGGGAACAACACACACTGGGGCCTTTTGGAGGGTGGAGCAGGGAGAGGATCAGGAAAAATAACTAATGGGTACTAGGCTTAATACCTGGATGATAAAATAGTCTCTACAACAAACCCCCATGACACAAGTTTACATATGTAACACCAAATCTGCACTTGTAACCCTAAACTTAAAAGTTAAAATAAATAAATAATAAAACATTTTTTAAAACCAACCAAACAAAAACCATACAAGTTGCTCTAGGGTTGGGAATTTTGTTTAATGCATCCTATGTACCTAATATAGTCAATGTTTCTTAGCAAATAATAGATTCACAATAAATATTTTTGCTGACTGAAAAAAAAAAAAAAAGACTGCAGTGTCCAATCCTGCCTGAGTTTCCAGGCTGCTAACCTGTCCTGTGAATGTTGGACTTGCCGGCCCCTATAACTGCATGGATCAACTCCTTAAAATGTATCTCTCTCTCTCTCTGTTCTGTGTTCTCTCTCTCTCTATCTCTCTCAGTTCTGTTTCTTGAAAGAACCCTGGCTAACAAACTATTCAGTGAGCCAGACGGAGCGAATCCAAAATTTCCCTGCAGAAAGTTGAGAGATTGAGAGGGCAGTCTGTGTGATGCAAGAAACCACTGCCTGATGACTTCCGCAGGCAGCTGGAGAGGTGTGAATGAGACCTTAAGGCTGCAATGTCACATAGTGAAGCCCAAGCAGGAAATCTCTAGCAGCTAAAGAAAAGACGTTACCTTTGAGGATTTCTTAAAGCAGGCAGGGCCTTTTTCTCATAACGTCCAAGGTAAAAGGAAAACAAGATCTCCCGTTGAAATCATTTGGTTGGAATCCATTCTAGAGAAGGAAGGATAAAACCCTTCTGCCATTTTTCTTCTTTATTCTCTTCACAAAACCATCTGGTTGGGTTTTTTGTTTTTGTTTCTGTTTTTTTCTTGGAGGGACAAGTCACGGAGCTTGAAGGTAAGTTTTGAAAGATCTCCAGTTAGTTGCCAAGTATATAATTATGCTTTGGAGATGAATATTTGAAGGATGCCACCAATTCTCTTTGCAAGATAGGAGGGGAAAAAAAGTCTCTGTGCAGCGCTCATAAGCAGAACAATTTTTAAGTTTCAAAGGAGATTTGACAAGGCATCACTTACAGATTGTGAAAGAGTAATTTAAAAACGGTGAATACGTCATGGAAACTTCCTTTTCCCTTCCTACTTTGTTCTGCCCCTGACTTGACAAAGCAATGGCCAGGAATCCTTCACACCTGGTAGTGGGAACTGTTTTCCTTAAGGAATTTAGAAAATTGCGAGGATAACGGAAGCTGTTGCATGATGCTGACTAGGATATTTCATTGCCTATTTCACGGAAATACTGCCAGCCAGTTCTCAGAGCCCGGCTTTCACAAATCCTCGGTCTCCATGAAGTAGCTCAGTGGTTCCCAATTCTGGCTGCGTGTTAGAATTACTAGAGGGAGGTTTTTAAAAATACGGGTGCCATAGTTCCATCTCCGAACAATTAACTACCAAGTTCTGGGGTGTTAGCATTAATATTAGTAACTTTTTAAAAACTCCCCCAAGTGATTCTGAGCATCCAAGAGCAGCGCAGGGCCTGACAGCCTCTGCACTGGGTGGGAGTAGAGCATGGCACAGGTGGCCCTAGATGCCCAGCCGGGCTCCCCGTCTGGAGCGAGTGCCAATAGGCCAGCCCCTGAGAAATCCAGGAGTGTGAAATATTCATCTTAAGTTAAAAGTCTGAGGCCGCGAGTGCTGGCACACCTGCAACCCCAGGACTTTGGGAGGCTGAGGCGAGAGGATCACTTGAGGTCAGCAGTTGCAGGCTAAAGTGAGCTAGGGTCACCACTGTACTCCAGCCTGGGCAACAAAGCAAGACCCTCTCAGAAAAAAAAAAAAAAAAAAAAAAAAGCCAGGCACAGAGGCTCATGCCTGTAATCCCAGCACTTTGGGAGGCCGAGGCAGGTGGATCACCTGAGGTTGGGAGTTCGAGACCAGCCTGACCAACATGGAGAAACCCCATCTCTACTAAAAATACAAAATTAGCCAGGTGTGGTGGCGCATGACTGTAATCCCAGCTACTCAAGAGGCTGAGGCAGGAAATCGCTTGAACCCAGGAGGTGGAGGTTGCAGTGAGCCGAGATCGCACCACTGCACTTCCAGCCTGGGCAACAAGAGTGAAACTCTGTCTCAAAAAATAAATAAATAAATAAATAAATAAATAAATAAATAAATAAAAAGCAGCAAAGGTCTGGGCTGCTGACATGCATTCCCACGTAGGTGAAAGAAGTATAGAACAAACAGTGCCAGCAGACTGACTTTTATTTTTTTTAAATCTTTGTTCTTTAAGCATTTTCATTTCAACACTGTCTGCTCATATAGCCACTATTCTGGCCCCTTCTCTGCCATTCTTTCCTGGCGCCATCCCCAACACCCATTTCTGGTCTGGTGCCCTCTCCTGGGCTGCCAGGCACTTGGTGCTTACCTCAGTTGACGCACTTATCAAATGACACTGCTGTATATTTGTTTCTGTGTCTGACTCTCCCACTAGACTATGAAGAACTTGAGGATGGGGGCGCTGTCATTTTGTCTTTTTATCTATTAAGATTAGCACCTAGAACAATGCCTGGCACCTAGAGGGCATTTAATGAATGTTTATTGAATAAATTAAAGGATAAACCAATAAAATCAAAATTGAGGAGGTGTTTATGGTATAGAGCCTTCTTTTTTTTTCTTTTTTTTTAGATGGAGTCTCACCTCTGCTGTGCAGGTTGGAGTGCAGTAGTGCGATCTCGGTTCACTGCAACCTCCACCTCCCGGACACAAGTGATTCTTGTGTCTCAGCCTCCCGAGTGTCTGCGACTACAGGTGCCCACCAGCATGTCCGGCTAACTTATGTATTTTTAGTAGAGCCAGGGTTCCACCATGTTGGCCGGGCTGGTCTCAAACTCCTGACCTCAGGTGATCCACTCCCCTTGGTCTCCCTAAGTGCTGGGATTACAGGCGTGAGCCACCGTGCCTAGCCAAGCCTTCATCTATTCTTATTTCATCTTTGTTTATCATTGCTAATATTTTTGTGATCCATTCATTATTCTAGAACTTGATAGAAACAATTTAAGGCCACGTGGGAGAATAGGTTCCAAGATAATTTTTTTCCCTTGAAGAAGGAACTGTGTATTATTCAGATTTGAAACACAGTACTCAGAAAATTTTATTTTCAAGTGAACTCTGCTAGAGGGAATGGTTTCCTTTTGGCTGTCCTCTTCACCCATTTCCTGGCCCCTCACTGAAATTTCTTGCACGGCAGAGAACGAACCTCTGGATGTGCCAGTTTTCCGGTTTGCAAAATGAGGATAATCGCTTTTATGACTGCAGTACTATATTAGAAAGAGCAACTGCTTATACAGAACTTTAAGCATTACAGGAGAAAATATAGAATACTAATAACATAAATAATGATACCACTGAATCAGGAACAGAAGAAAACAAACAGATGCATTTACCTTATTATTCTCTGCGACATTAATAGCACATGGAGAAGCATATAAATAGCACTGGTCACATTAATGAGACACCAAACTATATTAAGCATATTGCCAAGAAGAGATGTACGTTTTTTCACAATTTTAGCTTTACGATCCATCTGGTTGAGGTTTTTTCTGATATGCAGAGAACTCAATATCTAAAAGATGTTTTTAGTTTATCTGATTTAAGGATGAAGGATGTAATCTTGCACTTAATGGGTTACTGTCTAAATTGGAGAGCAAAGCCAAAGACATATATTACAGTTCCAGGTGGGCGGATCACTTGAGGTCAGGAGTTTGAGGCCAGCCTGGTCAACATGGTGAAACCCCGTCTCTACTAAAACTACAAAAATTAGCTCAGCATGGTGGCACATGCTTGTAATTTCAGCTACTCGAGAGACTGAGGCAGGAGAATCGCTTGAACCCGGGAGGCGAAGGTTGCAGTGAGCTGAGATCGTGCCACTGCACTCCAGCCTGGGCGACAGAGCAAGACTCCGTTTCAAAAAAAAAAAAAAAAAAAAAAAAAGAAAGACATATCGTTAAGCTAGAGGGTGTTTAATGAGAAAAAAGTAATTAATTTAATCAGGAACACATAATTTCAAATAAAATCTTTAACAGGTTATTTCTTTTGTGCTTACTCAGTAATAAGTGTGAAGTCTAACTTTAAAGTGTTAAAGTCTTCATTCATTTCTTAGGGCAACAAACTTTCATGGGGGCCTAATATGTGCTGAAGATGCTATGAAGAATCAAACATTGGTTTTGCCTTTGAGTCGCTTGTTGTTAGGCAAGAAGCCAGACAAATCAGCATTTGCAATATAAGATAATAAATGCTAAAAGAGCATTTAATATTTATCTCATTTCTGTGGCTTATTGTTAAAAGTACCCATACAGTTATACACACTTTTTCTCCACATTGAGGCTTTTTATAAGTGAGATAATACATCTGTGTAGTATTTTCTCTACATTGGGGCTTTTTATAAGTGAGATAATACGTCTGCATAGTATTTAGTTTGAGTAAGATTTTCTGGGTTTTGCCACTGAAAGCATGCTAATGATACAAGGAGGAAGTTTAGGAAGGGAGATAGCTCTTTTTTCTTTTTTTTCTTTTTGCGACAGTCTCGGTCTGTCACCCAGGCTGGAGTGCAGTGGTGCGATCTCAGCTCACTGCAACCTCCACCTCCCAGATTCAAGCGATTCTCCCACCTTCCTCTCAAGTAGCTGGGAGCACAGATGTGCTCCACCACACCTGGCTAATTTTTGTATTTTTAGTAGAGGGGGGGGTTTCACCATGTTGGCCAGGCTGGTCTTGAACTCCTGGCCTCAAGTGATCCGCCCACCTCAGCTTCCCAATGTGCTGAGATTACAGGCATCCGCCACCGCACCGGGCCGATGGCTCATTTTTTAACACATTGAGTTTGAGATCGCTGTGAGGCCACCTAGAGACTTCCCAGGGGTAGTTAGGTCTATCCTTGAAAAACATAAACTTGTTGTAACAGCTTTGGGCTATTTTAAAATACCGTAGTGTAAACACTCTGAGTATCTCTACCCTAAGGACGGGCAGTTGCACCTGGAGTGGTTCCATGGCATCATGGAAGACCCAGGTTCTTTCTTGTCTTCTGCCGCCATCCCTAGATTGTTTGTTTTTCTTTGCAGGCTCCTGCTCTCATGCTCACAGGATGGTGACAGCACCATTGGGCATCCCCTCCTCACCCAACAATGACCAAAAGCCAAGTTCATGCACTATCTTCCTTATTTTCCTACTTGAAAGCAAAGTCAGTTTTGCCAACTACACTCACAGATGGTTAGTTAGTCACTGAAGGACCCTAATCGGGAACCTGCACCCAGAGGGGGCTACAGTGTTTCACAGGAGGCTAGCGGAACCTAAACCAGAGGGTTTGCGAATTAGCATAAGAGACTTGGGACACCATTTTTTCACTTGTGAGAACAACAGTATTCAAGAGACGTGACTGACCGGCATCTTTCCCTTTGCAAAATGAAGTATAAGAGGCCGAGGCAGGCAGATCACCTGAGGCCGGGAGTTCGAGACCAGCCTGGCCAACATGGTGAAACCCTGTCTCTACTAAAAAGTACATAAATTAGCTGGGCATGGTTGCACACACCTGTAATCTCAGCTACTGGAAAGGCTGAGGCAGGAGAATAGCTCGAACATGGGAGGCAGAGGTTGCAGTGAGCCAAGATTGTGCCACTGCACTACAGCCTGGGAGACAGAGTGAAACTCTGTCTCACACACACACACACACACACACACACACACACACACACACACACACAAAAAGAACATGTCACATTCAAATGACCAAGTCCTCTACAGAAGCATGATGGATCTTGAACCTCATTTGGTCCTTTACCCCCATTTGATTAGAAGACTTGATGGCTTTGCCATTCGAGTACTGTTGTATTCCTATATGTTAATTTATTCATGCAATGAGCTACTATTTAAAAGGACAGAGGCCAGGCTTGGTGGCTCATGCCTATAATCCCAGCACTTTGGGAGGCAGAGGGAGGTGGATCCCCTGAGATCAGGCGTTCAAGACCAGCCTGGCCAACATGGCAAACCCCATCTCTACTGATAATACAAAACTTAGCTGGGTGTGGTGGCAGGCACCTGTAATCCCAGCTACTCGGGAGGCTGAGGCAGGAGAGTAGCTTGAACCCGGGAGGCAGAGGTTGCAGTGAGCTGAGATGGCACCACTGCACTCCAGCCTGGTGACAGAGTGAGAGTCTGTCTCAAAATAAAAACGTAAATAATAAAAGGACAGATTCTGGTGACTTTGTTCAGTATACAGGATCAGGAAATAGGACTCTTTTGTGCCTGCTTGCCAGCAGATGTTTGTACTTGTGGCAGAATTCACGTGAGACATTCTCTATTGCAACGTATCACCAGGGAGCAAGCTGTAGGAGGACAGACATGTAGCCCCCACGTGCCTCTAATTGTTAGAGGCTACCAATATTTGCTTCATGGTTTTGAAGGGTGAAAATACCTCAGGCCTATTTGCAACATCACTGCACCAAGTCACTTCTGCCTATAGAGACGCAAGTCTTACGCAGCCAGGTCAGAAGGGTTCCGGCAAAAACTCAGTCAAAAGGGCTGTCTTTCCTAAAGACAGCACTTCCGGAACTCTCAGAAAAGACCTGGGGATGAAAGCCATCTGGGAGATCCATCACCTCCCCAAGTACCAGGATCTAAGCCACTGGTGACCTTGTTCCCTTACTGTCTCAAGTCTGACCCCACCTAAAGCATCCAGCTTGGTCAAAAAGGAAAACGATTTCCAGATAGAGAGGAATTATTACTGTTTAGGGGTATACAGATTGCTGCTTAAGGTATACACATTATTATTACTGCTTAAGGGTATACACATTGCTGTCCCCATTCAAGAGCCTCCTTAGACCGGGTTTCACCCTTTATTCGGCCTCTGTGTCTATGATTTTCTTGTACCACTATTCACAGTCAGGAGCGTGGTCAGGAATTCCTGGTGGCCTGCAACTTCCCATCTCTACTGCTGCCTTTCTTCCCACCTTGAGCTGGTATACCAGAAAGCAGATGGGTGAGAGTGGTTTTACAAAAGAGATAACTTTGAATTAACTCTAGGTGTTCATATAAACAGTTTGCACTTTTACACGATCATGCATTGTTTTATATCAAAAATTCCTTAAGTTTTAAAAGTCAACTTCTCATTTGCAAATAGCCCTGCACTAATTATAATTAATAAGTTATGTGAGGCACATCTTACTACCCTTTTTTGTTGAGATTTGATGTTTTAAGTTACAGGACTGTGCACGTAACTCATTTGCCGGGAAGTTTCTCCTTTAGGATGGGCAATCAAATCCTGCCTATGTGCTTAGGTTCCAACAGTTGCCTCAGTTGTCATTTTCCACTTAACTGAACACGAAACACACACAAACCAGCTTTTCAGAACAAGATCATAAACACCTCCCACGGCATTTTGATGTCCTTTGTGGAGGATTCCCCTTCCTCTAACTGCCTAAAATTTCCAACCTCCGGCCTTCCCTGGTGCAGAATTACAAAACCAAGTGTCAATCTTATATTGGAAAAAGTGTTAACTTGAGGAGCCATATTTTCTTTGGAAAGGAGGAACTGCAAGTGGAAAACTAAAAGCAGTTCAGATCAGGTTAACCATGTCTGTGGCTGGAAAAAGAAATCTCTAATTTCCCATAATTGATGTAGCACATCCATTCAACCAGCCCCTATGGTTCCTAGACCGTAAGACATTTTAAAGTTTCCAACATACCCAGTGAGTGGAATAGTGAAATTATTATTTTTTAACTGATGCACAACTGCAAGTTATTTCATCAAGAGACTGGAAATTTCAGCTATACACACGTAGGTATTTTAGAAAAATGGGTCTTGTCAATAAGTTGAAATCTCCCCAGTGACTCTTTGGGTAGGCACTCTAGGCCACTGCCGATGAAGGACGTCAACCCTGAACTTGCATTTTCTACCTGTGAAAATTGAAGGCAAAGGAACAACCAGGTCCTGGGCAGATTGGTAGATTTTTCTCTGACAAGCTGGAAATAAGTGCTGCTCAAAGATATGGGTCGACCTCTTCCCTTTGACTCTCTCTCCCCCAATATATCAATACCTACTCACAGAACATGCCCTATTTCTAACTGAATTGGAAATGCAATGGTAACCTCACTTGAAAATAAACGGTGCTTTAAAATTTGGTTAAATTATTCCCTCATCTTTTATGTCTTAGCTTGGAATATAAGTCGATGCCTTTCATCTCTGAATTGTCTGAAAATTTTGCATTCTTGCCACTCTCTGCAGTCTTTTATGGAGAGTTGCCAATAGCCAAATCTGCACCATGTAAATTTTCATGGTTTATGAGAGCTATCCATTTATTGCATTCTAAGAGAAGCCAAGAAGCTGCCTCTCTCTTTTCCGGTTGGGATGCAACTAAATATCCAGATTGGAAAATTCTTGACTGGGTATATCATGCACGATCATGCCACTGTGTTTAACATCTTTTGAAAGTAGAAAGCTGGCATAAGAAGTGATCAGGGCTGAAATGGAATGGAATGGGATTCTCACTAGGCCACTCAAATATCTTCTGTGTTTGTGGAAGGAGGGACAGTCAGTAATTTTGCTCAGGAGAATAAAAAGGAACTAGAAAATTAATGTTTGATTGCAATAATCTATTATTTACCATATATTTTAAAATGTTGATGTCAAACAATATGTTTAACAGAGACCTTCACTAATAGGGCATTTGTTTTTGTAGGTAGGCTAAAATTCTCTCATCTTCTGTTCAGGCCCATAGGGAAAGGTAGGGAAGGTTTCATTCTAAAGAAATGCAGGAAAAATGGTTTGTACCAGAAAATGGAAATATAGCCCAGCAGAGCTGATCCCAGTAGAGCTGATCCCAGTAATGCTATTAGATAAGGGGGATGCAGAGTGCAGGTAGGATGATGGGTGATGGGTGATTACACATGAGTTTATAATAGGCTTCCAAGCAGCACTGACATCTGCAGATGGTACCCCCAAGTCTTGGCTTCTAGACAACTTCAAGACATTGAAATAAAAATCAATATATTGAATATCATTTACCTATAGAGGTGAACAAGAGTTCCAAGAGCTTTTCTGTTAATAGATATCCGAGGAGTCTCTCAGACACCCAATTTCAATTAAGATGGCTTCAGGGGAACATGTTTTGGATCTGCTTCTAACTAAGGAACTGAAACTAAATTAATGAAATGATCCTAGGTATTAGAAAAGACTGTGCCAAGAAAAGACAAAGGATGGGCATGGAGCCTAGACAAGGAGAGCAAAGGAAAAGTTATTTAGTTATTTGCAGCATGAGTTCTGCACAGCCCATAGAAGTTATGTCTGACCTGTTGACCTGAGTTTCCCATGCTGCTTGGAGGGTTATCATTAGAGTGGAAATGGATTAGATGCTTAGTAGCCTCACGGAGTTCCAGTTTCCTTGTCAGGTAGAACAATAGGAGGTGAGTTCAGAGAGGTACTTTGTATTGGATTTGTGGGCCACTGTAGGGATTTGATTTTTACTCTGAGGGAAATAGGGAGCATTTGGAGGGTTTTGAGCAGAAGAGTGAGTGGGATTATCAGGAACTGATATTGTAAGAGGACTAGCAGGATCAAATGAGCTAGTACTCATTTGATGATCAATGAGTGGTACTTATAATGGCCATAGCTCAGTGATGCTATCAAAGTAGCCCCTCTTCACCAAGACTGATTCAGGAAGATGTAGAAAATCTGAATAGACCTATAACTGGTATGGAGATTGGATCCATAATCAAACACTGTACAACAACAACAACAGAAAGACTTGGATCATGTGGTTTCACTGGTGAATTCTACCATACATTTAAAGAATCTTTCTCAAACTCCTCCAAAGAACTGAAGAGGAGGGAACACTTCCTAATTCATTCTATAAAGCAAGCACTAACCTGATACCAAAGTTAGACAAAGGCACTGCAAGAAAACTGCAGAACAATATCCCTGATGTGTATGTATATATATATATATATATATATATATATATAGAGAGAGAGAGAGAGAGAGAGAGAGAGAGAGAGAGAGAGAGAGACAGAGAGAGAGAGAGAGAGAGTTTCCCTCTGTCGCCCAGGCTGGAGCGCAGTGCCACAATCTCAGCTCACTGCAACCTCTGCCTCCCGGGTTCAAGTCATTCTCTGCCTCAGCCTCCTGAGTAGCTGGGATTATAGCCCCTCTACCACACCCAGCTAATTTTTGTATTTTTAGTAGAGACAGGGTTTCACCATGCTGGCCAGGCTGGTCTCGAACTCCTGACCTCATATGATTCACCCACGTCAGCCTCCCGAAGTCCTGGGATTACAGGCATGAGCCACCGCACCCGGCCCCTGATGAGCATTAATAGAAAGATCCTCAACAAAATACTAGCAAACAGAAAACTGCAGCATATTAAAAAGATTACACCGTGACTAAGTGGGATTTGTTCCTGGAATACAATGATGGTCAACATAGAAAAATCGATCAGTGTAACATACCACATTGACAGAATGACGGAAAGAAAACACATGTGATCATCTCAATTGATGTGAAAAAAAATTAACAAAATTCAACACCCTTTCATAATAAAAAAAATACTCAAAAGGTTAGGAATAGAAGGAAACTACCTCAACACAATAAAGTTCATATAAGAAAAACCCACCACTAGCCTCACATTTAATGGTGAAAGACTGAAAGCTTTTACTCTGAAATCAGGAACAAAACAAGGATGCTTACTTTGCCACTTCTATTCAATGCAGTATTGTAAGTTTCCACCAGAGCAATGAAGCAAGAAAAAGAAATAAAAGGCATCCAAATTGGAAAAGAAGAAGTAAAATTATCTGTCTGTTGATGACATGATCTTATGTGTAGAAAACAAAAAATGTACAGAACTAATAAATAAATTCAGCAAAATTGTAAGATAAAGACCCCTGCACAAAAATCAGTTGCATTTCTATACAGTAACAATGAACACTCTGAAAAGGAAATTAACAAACAATTTTATTTACAATAGCATCAAAAAGAATAAAATATTTAGGAATTAGCTTAACCTAGGAGGCAAAAGAAGTGCACATTGAAAACTTCAAAATGTTACTGAAAGAAATTAAAGAAGACATAAATATAATAAATGGAAAATATCTTGTGTTCATGGATTAGAAAATGTAAGATGTCAATACTGCTCAAATATATCTATATATTTAATGCAACCCCTATCAAAATCTCAATAATGTTTTTTGCAGAAATAGAAAAATTCGTCCTAAAATTTATAGAGAATCTCAAGAGACCCCAAATGATCAAAACAATCTTTGAAATGGGAGAACAACATTGGAAGTCTCACACTTTGAGATTTCAAAGTTCACTACAAAACTACAGTAATCGAAACAGTGTGGTACTGTCACAGACATATATACCAATGGAACAGAATGAAATCTCAGAAACAAACCCTCACATATATGGTCAAATGATTTCAACAAGGGTGCCAAGACCACTCAATGGGGAAAAGACAGTGTTGTCAACAAATGGTGCTGAGAAATTTGGATATCTACATGCAAAAGAATGATGGTGGCACCACAATGTGAATATGCCTAATGACACAGAATTATATACTTTAAAACAGTTACAATGGTAAAATTTATGTTATGTGTATTTTATCACAATAAAATGAATCACTCTCCTTCCTCTAAGTCCATGCTTTCCAACAAATTTTTGGTTATCATTTCGCTTTACTGGTGATTTTCCAATGGGGAGAATACGTGGCTCAGTCAGCGCAACCCTACCCATTAGTGCTCAAAGCTTACAACTAAATGAGCATTCTGACTTACGCATCAGGCTCTTGTAAACTATCTCTCACCTCATCTTCCTGCTGTCCCTATTAGGTTTATTACCATGGCCTTGATGCTCCAACCTTCCTGACTCTAATCCATCCTACACCTACCCATGACTTTGCCCCTGCTAAGTGGACAGTAACTACAGATGTTGTCCCCACTGTGTGTTATTGGTTCTATTCTAACACACAGTGCTTGCCTTGAGCCCCTGTGTCCCATGTGTCACTAAAACAGGAAGATAAAATCAAATTGACCCTGCTGTATCCAGCAACACAGGGAGTCTCTATTCTCTCAGAGAAAGCCGACTGACAAAACTGTGTTTGGAGACAGCAGTGCTGAGGCTCAGACGCTCAGTAACCACCAGAGCCTGTGAATCTTCAGGCCACTGCTGGGGTGCTAGGATGGCTTGGTTACCACTTCTCTGCCCAGTTGCTAAACCAACCTGTTCCAAAAATCAATGAAGTTGTCAATTCCAAGATGGGCCCTGTTTCCCTTCACTTTTGTACAACTGACATTTTTGTTTTTCTTTTCTTTTTTTAGACGGAGTCTCATTCTGTCACCCAAGCTGGATTGCAGTGGTGCAATCTCGGCTCACTGCAACCTCAGCCTCCAGGGTTCAAGCAATTCTTGTGCCTCAGTCTCCCAAGTAGCTGGGATTACGGGCGCCCGCCACCACGACCAGCTAATTTTTTGTATTTTTAGTAGAGACGGGGTTTCACGATGTTGGCCAGGCTGGTCTTGAACTCCTGACTTCGTGATTCACCCCTCACTCAGCCTCCCAAAGTGTTTGGATTACAGGCGTGAGCCACCGCGCCCGGCCACAATTGGCTCTTTATTTAAAAACCCCAGAAATGATTTCCCAAACTACAATTACTATCTCTTCCTATGTGAGGCTGGCTACTCCCAGTTCAAGTACAAGCTAGATGGAACTTACAACTGCTATAGGAAGACATTCTCAAACTACCAAACTACTCTGAAACTTTTAGTTGCTTAGTGTGTGAACTCTCCCTTTCTCACACTGCGTACATCACTGGGAGAGAGAGGAGTGAAACAGCACCATTCAACTTGGCTGGGTGCAGTGTTAAGTTGGATTCGCAATTAGAACAGAAAAAGATCGAAGCCCCTGTATTCTAGTCTTCCCCTGTCTTCTTCCCAAGGCTGAACATGGAGTGCCGTCCTGTGTTTGTATTCCATCCGGTGCTGAGCCATAAGCCCTCTCATACTGCATTGATTCTGCCTGTTTACCCAATGGAACTTCCCACTAGAACATCAGCAACCTCACAGATTGAGTCACAATCATCAGTGTTTCCCCAGGGCTAATGCTATCCTCACATGGAGGAAGAGCATAATAACTACTGACTAAAAAAATAAACAGCAGACCTGGCGCGGTGGCTCACACCTGTAATCCCAGCACTTCGGGAGGCCAAGGCGGGTGGATCATGAGGTCAGGAATTCGAGATCAGGCTGGCCAACATGGTGAAAACCCATCTCTACTAAAAATACAAAAATTAGCCAGGCGTGGTGGCTGGCGCCTGTAATCCCAGCTACTTGGGATGCTGAGGCAGGAGAATTACTTGAACACGGGAGGCAGAAGTTGCAGTGAGCCGAGATCGCACCACTACACTCCAGTCTGGGTGATGGAGCAAGACTCTGCCTCAAAAAAATAAAAATAAAAATAAAATAAAATAAACAGCAGTACTGCTGAATTTCGTTGAGTCTACAATTCCATCAATGATATGACACTTCAACTACAAGACCACTAAGAAGGGGAAAAGTTATCATTAAGAGGTACTAACAATTATAAGACACATTCCCATTTTAGGGTTGTTATCACTTTGGTTTCAGGTCTGGAACAGAAAAGAGATGAATACAAAAAGTTGAAGACTGATCAATAGCATTTCTTCAATACAGACATGTGCGCTCATCACTAAACCAAACAAAAATGTTTCATATTTGCTTAGTTTGTTTAGCTTCATTACCTCAAGCTTTCTCTCTTGAACCAGATATTGTTTCCAATATAAATGAGCCACCCTCCTGTCTGAACATCAGGTAACTGAAGATAGAGAGAGGGGCTTGTCCCCATTTCTTACCTTATGTCTGAGGCTGAACTAAAAAAAAAAAAAAAAAAAAAAAAAAAAAGATTATTTGTGGCCTCTACAGAGGCAGCTTAAATAATGAGGATCAGTGCATCCAAAAGGGAAATATTTTTCCGCCAGGCAAGATTGTAATAAAAGCATCTCATTCATCATCTGCTAAGGGAAAACATGCCATTGCAAAGTCACTTGGTAATGAAAAATCTGGGCAGTTCTAAGCCACTTTTAATCAGAAGATCTCAAAGCAATCCCCCACACTGCCAGCGGCAAAGCTTTGTCACTCACAGGATGCAAAATGGACATCTTCTGTGGTGTTATATACCATGAAGCTATGGTAGAAAAGGGTAAAGCATATGAATAAAAACAAATAATAATAGTTATTGAATATCATTAAGAGGAGTTGGTTACTGGATACAAAAGTACAGTTAGAAGGAACAAATTCGAGTATTCGATAGTACGGTGGAGAAGTTATAGTTAACAATAATTTATTGTGTATTTCAAAATAGCTAGAAGACAGGAATTGTAATGTTCTCAACACAGGGAAAAGGTAAGTGTTTGAGGTGGTAGATATCCCAGTTACCCTGATTTAATTACACATTTATACATGTATACATACCCCAAAAAATATACAACTGTGATATATCAATTAAAATAACAACAAATAAAAATAAATTAAAAAACAAATAATAATTATATCGACATCAACATATAAATACATGGAATTAATTTATTCATTTTTGTAGAGATGAACCTTCGTTATGTTGCCCAGGCTGGTCTCAAACTTCTGGTCTCAAGTGATTCTCCCTCCTTGGCTTTCCAAAGCTCTGGGTGACAGGCATGAGCCACTATGCCCAGCCAATATGTATGATATTTAAATGTGATTGAGTATCAAGCGAGATCACATATGAATAGTTGATCCTAAATCCTCAAACACTACACAATTAATTAGTAGTAGAAGCACATTATAATTCAGAGGATGGACTTTGGAGTCAAACAGAAGTGGGTTCCAGTCCTGTCTCTGCCACATCCTCTCTTTGTGGCCTTGGGCAAATGTCTTACCCTCTTTAAGCATCCATGCCCTCCTCTGTAACATGGGCACCATAAGAATATGCACTGGCCGGGCATGGTGGCTCACTCCTGTAATCCCAGCACTTTGGGAGGCTGGGCGGGGGAGTCATGAGGACAGGAGATCGAGACCATCCTGGCTAACACGGTGAAATCCCATCTCTACTGAAAATACAAAAACTTAGCTGGGCCTGGTGGCAGGCACCTGTAGTCCCAGCCACTCGTGGGGCTGAGGCAGGAGAATTGCTTGAACCTGGGAGGCAGAGGCTGCAGTGAGCCAAGATCGTGCCACTGCACTCCAGCCTGGGAGACAGAGCAAGACTCCATCTTAAAAAAAAAATATATATATATATATATGCACCTCACTGTCACCAGGGTTGGCTGAGATACTCTGTGTAAAGCACTTAGAATAAGGGCTAGCGAACTACAAGTGCTCTGCACAGCTTAGCTCTCGGTGTTTGAACTAGAATAGATGCCCATTTACCCACATCAGGCCCTCTTCCTGCACCTCCTGGCACTTGATTTCAGTGTTTGCATTGCATCACTGCTTCCCTCCCTGCCTGGTTTGGACCGCACAGTCAACTGCCGCGTGTCCTGCCTCATGGAGCCCCTCCCACTTTATCTCCCTGTTGTTCCTGTCTGGATTGTTACAATGTCCTCTCTGCTCCGGGCTTCCCAACTGTAATCCATCCTACGCTGTGGACCACCCATGGCTTTGCTCCTGCCAAGTGGACACTAAACATGGATGTGGCCCCATTTTGTGTTATTGGTTCTATTTGAATTCACATGCTTGCCTTGAGTCCCTGAGTCCCATGTGCAACTAAAACAGAAAGATAAAATCAAAGTAACCCTTTGTTCTTGCGGCTGTCTTCAGTAATATAAGGTGGGTCTGCATTGCTCAACAGAAAGTCTTCCGGTTCATTAAAACTGTACATCATTGGTACCATAAATATCCAACAAATATCAACTTGGCCATGAATTCTAATCAGCTACCTATAATACTACCAAAAATATCTTAATCTGGATGTGGCTATACACTGAAAATTTTGGTTTTTGCTGGTTGGTTATGGGCTTTGGTTTAGTGGTGCTAGAAAAAAACATAGCAGTTTTTGCTGTGACAGAGGATATGGTAAAACTCTCTGTCCAATTTCAGAATGCAGACGACAGACCCAAGCTTCAGTCATTTCATATAAACCTGCAGGGTGTCAAATGAAACTATTTTTTAAATGATGTTTTAACCCTATCTTTGCTGGTTGGCTGTGTTCTTGCTAAGGAGGCTTCTTAGATTCTGTGAAGCAAGCCAGACCAAAAAATAATTTGTTAAACGGATGTGGAAAAATGATTTAAAAAATCAGAATACTTTAGTGATGGATCCCCAAAGACTTCTCAGTTTTTTAAGTCTGGTCCTAAGCTACTTGGCTAGGAAATGACCAAAAATGGTCAAGAGATATCTTTGGAGTGTACCTTTTAGAAAACCTTTCCTCTACACTGCATCTGCAAACTGGGATTACCGGGAACTTTGAAATAATTGTACAGCTCCATCTAATCAGAATACTCAACAATTAAAATTCACTGATGCCAAAAATGGAAAGAAAATAAGTAAATAACTCTTAAGAGCAGTGGCACCATTTTTTTTAAATAACTTCCTCCTCCTGCCTTCAACTCTCAGAAGATTATCACAAAAACATCCATATTATGAATAGTTTTATAGGTCAGTTCCCTTCCGTACCACTAGGCATACACTGATGATCATTTCCAAATTTTTCCAGACTGCTTTGATATCATGTGATTCATTTTAAGTAGAGGCAGTTTTGTGAATTCCCTAGCCAAACTTTTTAGATTGTGGATTTTCATATAAATAAATTGACAGACCGGTGGGGGTGGAGGGGGAAATAGAAAAAGGAAAAAAATGTTTTTGTAAACTATCTTACTCCTAATCTGTTATTGAGTGAGCCATTTTTGGCTCTAAGGCACCCTAGCCCGTTAATTCAAGGTTACCTTCGGTCATTGCCATGGCTCCAGTGCTTATTATCATTGCCTCATCCACATCTTTTGAGAACACTCTGAGAATCTACACGGCTTTAACACACTTCTTCGCACTAGTGAGAACGCCCGCAATGCCTTATTCAGTAAGGTTAAATGAGTTTGTTTGCTGAAACATTCGCCACATGATCCCAACGCTCCTCCAGCTCCATCCCGTCTATAATCGCAGAGCGAACACTCACTCACCTTGGGCGTGTCAATAATTGATGGTCTGGGGATGGAAGCGTGAAACACCACTGCTTCACAGTCCGCCCCATCATCCAGGGACCCGGGCACATCTTCAGGCGTCTCCGCGGGCTGGGCCGCAGTGCGGTGACTTGAATTCCGATTCGCACTGCCATTTCTCTCTGCATGGGTGCTCGAATCTTGCCTTTTCTCTGGAGCTCCTTCTGCGCTTGGGTGTCTTGGCTGTCTGCCTGCTTTGGCCACAGGCTGCACACGGACGGTGGAATGAGTATCAGCCACGCCGGACTGATTGAAGGAAGCACTCTCCCTCGTATTCCCAAAACAGGCGAGCAGAGCTGAGCACGGAAATGGATGCATGCTTCTAGAGGGAGACTTCAGTCTTTTGGTGAGTCTTGCTTTCCACGTGGACATGACTTGCAGTGAATCATTGCAAAGTTCAAACGGGGCAAGGAAATTTTCCAGGGGTCCACATCACCTCCACTTTGCTTATAGGAACTCTTTCCAATTGCCCGAAGAGAAGAACTTGCTAGTGGTTGCCCCTAAATAGAAGTTGGGATGGCAAGGCCACCTTCCCTGAGAGTCACTTAGCCGCTGGGGCCCCTTTGAAAGTGTCCATCCTGGGCAATTTCGCGCTCTTCCTTCTGTGATGCTGTCAGTGGCTAAAGAAAGCTGTTGGGGAGGCATGTGAGTGGCTCCGGTTACAGTTCCTAGGCAGGGCAGACGCTTCAGGGTAGGGTAGTGCCAAGTCAATAGACAATTGCTTCAGGTTACCTAGGAGGCATAAAGATAATGTAGCCTGATAGCATCTGCCATAATAGCGTCAGCCTGCGTATCAATAACATCATAACAGCAGCAAAACCTTCTTTGGTTACCCCCCTTCAAATATTTATTCCCCCAAACAAAACAAAAACGACCCAGTTGTCCATCACAAATGAAGACCCCTAGAAGGGCCACGACCCTAGCAGCTGTTTCATTATTAAAATAGGAGGTAGACTCAATCTTTCGCCTGGAGAGATGCGGTGTGATGTGTTTTCTGAATCTTTCTGGACTTTTCGGGATCTTTCCGGAATCTTCCCGGAATCTTCCCCCCACCCTCAAAACAAGTTTCCTGGTTTCAGGATCCACATTGCCTTTTCTGATAACTATAAATAGGTCTTTGGTAATTTGATTTTTTTTTTTTTACTAGCTAGGCTAAGTTCTTGATTAGTTTTCAACAATACCAAAAAGAAAAAAGAGAGCCCTACATTAACAATTATCCTTATGTATTATGTTATTATGTGTGGAGGTATTATGTACATGTGAAGTATTCTACCTATATGGTATATATCACCTACTTTCAGAAAGTAACTCCTTTTTGAACATAGATCTTCTGTTTCTCAACACATTAATATGTGAATGGTGAAAAATAATAAATTATAAACATATTCTAAGACAATTCAGAATCAAGATTTTTCCTTAGCCAACTGTCTGCTAGGAATGTTATAGAAATGTAATACTGTAATGCTTTTACCGTTAATAGTGATTTTAGGGTCAAGATTTCTGGGCATGTTACCCACTCTTAATTAATTTGTTTGCTCTCTCTTTTAATTTAATGTCAAGATGTGCTCTTTGGCCCAGACAGGTGGTAGTTATTATATTATGGCACTGATTCCCGTTTTACAGAGGCAGAAACCAATTCTTTGAAATTTCATGTGACTAAGGCAAGTTTATGCCACTAAGAAGGGCTTGTTGGGTGCCCGAGATCCCTGTTCTCCTATCTGTCCTCTGAGTCTCATTCTATCTAACAATCATTTTATAGATGTAATGGCCATACGGGAAATATTGTTCTAAATGGACAGTCATATTCATAATACAAAAAGGCAGATATGGCTTTAGAATGAGTGGATATGGCATCAAATGCACATTTTATTTTAGTCTCTACTGAAAGTTAGAATATAGAAAGCTTCCATTTATTTAGAGGTTACCGTGTGGCAGGCCCCGTGCTATCCAAGCTGTTTCTGGCTTCCCAGGGTTGTGAGCTCATTCTTTTTTCATTGTGTCCCAAGTGCAAGCTGTCCAAATTCCCCACCCATAAGAAATCAGGGGGTTCAGGTTTCTACCAGGGTCCCCCCTCCCAGATATTCCTGGAGACCCCTCGGAACTGCACTTTGTCTCCCATTTGACTTGGTTGCTACAGTCCACTCGGGTCGGGTCGTGCCATGCTGTGCCCCTCCAAGCACACGTATAGTAAATCGGGGCTGTGATGCTGCATAAGACATTTTTGAAGGCTTGGAGGTAACAGGAAGGGATTTAAGAAAAGAAAAATGCACTCTTACACCTGGTTTCATTCACTCATTCATATATTCATTCAATTATGTGTCAAGCCCCTTTTGGAACAGAGAGTCAGCAGTTCACAGTGCAGCTTGCGAGCGGCCACATTCAGGAGACCGCTGAGGAAGAAAGCTCAGAGCCACTTTCTAGGTCTGCGGAGGCCCTGGGCTTGCATCCGGGCTCTGAGGACCACCTCTCCTCGCTCAGTGGGTGTGCTCAGAGGCACGCATGAACTCATCGGAGTTCCAGCACTGGCCCGCTAAGAACAGTAGACTTTCTGATTAGTGTGTTGCTAAGTCTGACCTAGAATAACACTCAGTAACAGGCCATGGTTATTGAGTGTTTGGTATCAGACATGAATCTCAGCAAATTAACTCATTTAATCCTCACAACCCTAGAAGAAAGGTGATATTATTATTCCCATTTTTACTCATTAGAAAACCAAGACACAGAAACTTAAGTAACTTGCCCAAGGTCACAGCACTGCTTAAGGAAATGAGAAAAGGTGATGAGTCCAGCAACCTGGCCCCAGAGCTCATACTTTTCTCAGTATGCAATCCTGCTTTCCAAAAACACACATGCACGTGCACACACACAGATACATACTCCAGAGAGGACATTTCCAATGACCTTGATCCAACACTCTACCTCTAAGAAGTTATTTTGTAATGACGATCTTTAAAAAGTCAGGAAACAACAGATGCTGGAGAGGATGTGGAGAAATAGGAACACTTTTACACTGTTGGTGGGAGTGTAAATTAGTTCAACCATTGTGAAAGACAGTGTAGAGATTCCTCAAGGATCTAGAACTAGAAATACCATTTGACCCAGCCATCCCATTACTGGGTATATACCCAAAGGATTATAAATCATGCTACTATAAAGGCACATGCACACGTATGTTTATTGTGGCACTATTCACAATAGCAAAGACTTGGAACCAACCCATATGTCCACCAACAATAGACTGGATAAAGAAAATGTGGCACATATATACCATGGAATACTATGCAGCCATAAAAAAGGATGAGTTCATGTCCTTTACATGGACATGGGTAAAGCTGGAAACCATCATTCTCAGCAAAATATCACAAGGACAGAAAACCAAACACCGTATGCTCTCACTCATAAGTGGGAGTTGAACAATGAGAACACATGGACACAGGGAGGGGAACATCACATAGCAGGGCCTGTCAGGGGGTGGGGGCTGAGGGAGGGATAGCATCAGGAGAAATACCTAACGTAAATGACGAGCTGATGGGTGCAGCAAACCAACACGGCACATGTATACCTATGTAACAAACCTGCACGTTGTGCACATGTACCCTAGAACTTAAGGTATAATAATTTTTTTAAAAAAGAATTTATTCTGTAGATATACTTGTGCATAAATGTATGTCCCAGAATGTTCGCAGCACCAGAGTTTGTAATCACAAAATTAATTGTTAATCAATAGAAGACAAGTTCATATATAAGAAAACATCTGGCTGGGCGTGATGGCTCATGCCTGTAATCCCAACACTTTGGGAGGCCTAGGTGGGAGGGCCCTTTGAGGCCAGGAGAGTTCAAGGCCCGTCTGGGCAACATAGTGAGCCACCGTGTCTACAAAAAAAAAGTTTTAAAAATCAGTTGGGCATGGTGGTGAGTGTCTTAAGTCCCAGCTACTTGAGAGGCTGAAGTGGGAGGATCGCTTGAGCCCAGGAGGTGGAGGTTGCAGTGAACCGAGATTGCCCCACTGCACTCCAGAGCCTGGGTGGCAGCCCCTCGCAAGCTGCACTGTGAACAGCTGATTCTCTCCAGAAGGGGCTTGGCACATAATTGAATGAATAAATGAATGAGTGAATGAAATCAGGTGTAAGAATGGATTTTTCTTTTCTTAAATCCCTTCCTGTGACCTCCAAGCCTTCAAAAATGTCTTGTGCACCATCATATTTTAAGACTCTGTCTTAAAAATAAAAAATTTAAAAAACGCAAAGAGATCACAAAGCATCACAAGACATATGAGAAGAACTGTTACCGGAAAGGAGTGGGGTACTGATCCAGACCCCAAGGGAGGGTTCTTGGATCTTGCACAAGAGTTCGGGGCAAGTCCACAGAGAAAAGTGAAAGCAAGTTTATTAAGAAAGTCGAGGACTGAAAGAACGGCTGCTCCACAGGCAGAGCAGGGCACTCCTGAAAGCAAGAGGAGGAAACACCTTAGGTGCAATGCTTGTTCATATTATATATAAGCCCAAAATCATGAGGGAGATGTACTCTGCTACAGGGGCTTATGACAAACAGTTGTTAACCTTGGTGTAACTACTGTCTTCTGCAAGAATCTGTATTATTATTTTTAAAGAAAAACTTACTCTTAAACCAAGAATGTTTTTGTTCTTAAGATATCGGGACATCAGGACATTTCCTGGATCTGTTATTTCCCGGGTCTGTTAAGTCCTGAATCTCTTCAGTGAACTTTATTAACTTGTTCCCTTAACTGTAAATATCCTGTTGACTAAGAATGCCTCACCTCCTGGGAATCCAGCCCAGCAGGTGTCAGCCTCATTTTACCCAGTCGCTTTCGAACCAAAGTGACTCCATCTTGAATAGGGGCTGAGTAAAATGAGGCTGAGACCTGCTGGGCTGCATTCCCACTGCATCTTGAACAGTACTGCCTATGACAGAACTGCAATATAAATGACAACACCCAAGGTAAACAAAAGAAAAGATCCTAGCCAGGAAGAAAGAGGGAATGGCAGTTGGACAGGCAACAGGGTCTGTCACTCAGAGGATGGTGCAGGTGTACCGTAAGTCACAATGCAGATTGATTCTGAGCAAAGATCCTGGGGGAGTGTAAGAGGGAAAGAATCTTAGCAGCTTGATACCAGCAACATTCTTGTTGAGTGTCACATGACACGGATCCTAGAGAATTTTAAAACATTAACTCACTCTGCCCTAAAAAACTGTTTACATAGTCGTAATCATATAAATGCCGTCCAATTTTCTCAACTTTCAGAAGGAATATACAGGCCAACAGTTGCATATGATGGCTCTCAAAAACAATTTGGCCTCCAGACAGATTTTGTTTGGCTCATGACATTTTTTAAAAATGACTGCACAGCTCTTAGGCCACAGGAACCATTCTTCTCTGTATCTCTCATTAGGTCAGTTCCCAAATTTCTGCAAACAGGACCCCGACGACATTTGAGTTTAATGCCTCAGGTGGGTAATTTCTTATTGTAGGGTACCCAGCATTCTCTCCCTTTTCTTTTGGTAACAGCATCCTGATTTCCTCTTTGGAAACCCCTTCAGTGCTTTAGGTGAGGCTTTAGGCCTGGTTCCAGGGGAGGAACCTGAGATCAGGGTCAGGTAATCAGCCTGCCCTTATTCCCTGTTCAGGGACTGGAGTGAGAACACATGGTTCCAATCAGAATAAATCCCCAAACGGGCTGGACACAGTGGCTTACGCCTGTAATCCCAGCAGTTTGGGAGGCCAAAGCTGGCAGATCACGAGGTCAGGAGTTTGAGACCAGTCTGACCAACATGGTGAAACCCCATCTCTACTAAAAATACAAAAATTAGCTGGGCATGGTGGCGCATGCCTGTAATCCCAGCTACTCAAGAGGCTGAGGTGGGAGAATCATTTGAACCCTGGAGGCAGAGGTTGCAGTGAGCCAAGACCCGCCATTGCACTCCAGCCTGGATGACAGAGTGAGACTCCGTTAAAAAAAAAAATCCCCAAACAGGACTACTTGGAAGAAACTTTCTCTTCTTCCCATTGGATTTACTGGACTTAAACCTGAGAAAGGGAAGGGAAAAGCAGCTGCCAATATCTTGACTCCTTGGGGGACACTCACCCAGGCTGCAGCCAACACAAAGAAGAATGTAAGAGCTGGAGAAAGAGAACCTGGGTCCTGATAACATTTTTGAATGAATCTTTACCTGAGGCTGAAGCTATCCCTACATATTGCTGCTTGTGTTGTAAAGCAAATAAATTTATTTTCCTGCTTCACCGGCTTCAAGTTGAGTTTTCTGTCACTTTCTACTAAATGAGTCCTAATCAATATATCACTCAGGTGTACCAGCAAATCATGGAAACCTTCACCATGGTTGCAGAAGAGAATGAAAATTTTATCAACTTGACAGTGGCAAAATAAAGGGAAAGCTGAAAGATTTTGAACGATAGGAAGGTTGTTATGGAGGGGGTGATATGAGCAAAGGGAAGGTTGAGTTTGCTAATATTCTTATATTTCAAAGTCAAACGATGCTTCCTATGGTTGATACAAAAAGCAATCAAGTTTTAAGTGTGGTGTTTGATGTTGCAGAAGTGACAAGGGGAAAACTGGAAATAAAGATGGAACAGTGTTGGGAGGAGATGGGGTGTAGTAAGTAGCTAAACGCTCATCTATCTTATTAGAAAATCAATAGATAATGTCTAAAGTTGACAGATAAATAGAGGCATAAGCATATTAGTTAGTGGGAGAGATATCCATCTATCATAGAAAAATGTCAATAAATAATATTTTAAGTCAATGAATTAAGAAACAGAAATATAAACATATGATTTATATTACGGTGCTATCTATCAAAAAAAAAACTAAAGACAAACAGTTATAAGCAGTTGCCTTTAAGGAAGAAGAATGGAAATGAGGCAGAAGATGATTCCTTCTATTATAAACTCTTACGTATGTTTTATATTTAAATCATATAGAAGTATTACTTAATAGAATTTTTTTAATTTAAAAGGAATAAAGTCAACTTACATGGGGCAATATGAAAAATTGCCAGGAAATACTTTGAATGACAAAAGCAAATTGAAAAGTTAAGCACATGTGGATATCTAAAAATATACCCATATAAATATATACATGTATGTGCTTACTTTTATGTAGAAAAGCTTCAGAGGAATGTCCAAGAAGTCTTCTGCCTCCGGAGAGGGGACACTAAAGGTCTGATTTGGGAGGAAGATGCTTTTCATGGTATACCCTGTTGTACTGTTTGAATTTTGTTAACCATGTGCAAATACTAACTTTTCTATTAGAAAAAAATAGCATGGAAACATCCCAAGGTGACAAGGCACCAACATGCTCAGTTCTAGGTGAGGTCTCAGATGAAAATCAAGCATGTGGCACCAATGATCTCTCCAAAGGGGAGACCAGCAGAGCGGATCTCAGCCATTCAGTGCCTCCATCAGGATGCCTTAAGAAGATTTGTCATTTTCCATAGAGAGCGCATAGAGAAAGCACTATCACTGGGGCCCATGTCTTCAAACATCATTGATTGAGAACTCACTGCAGAGCAGGTTCTGAGTCAGGTGCTACTTGGAGTGAAATAAGCCAGGATCCTGCTCTCTTGGAGCCCAAAGGGCAGTAGAGCACATGAGTGAGTGTGGTGAGTGCAGTGAGGAAACCCGCTGGCTCCTGGAAATAAGATAATGACCCAAGTCAGGAAGCCCGGCTGATCTTGCATCCCCTTGTTTCCTGAGTCTCACTTTCTCTGTGGGGATCCCGCTAATCGCTTCTGCCACAGTGGCCTCGGGAGGCACTGCCCTCTGCCTTAAAAATCCAGCCCAAGAAAAGGGACACAACTGCCCCTTCTGCACAATTCAGCGGATAATCATCTTTGGTGCATGACCAGACTTTGCTGATTACAAAAGGCAATTATGCCTCTCTAAAAAAAAGTTTTCTTTTTGACTGTTTGCTGGGTAACATCATTGTCGGTGCCCCAAAGCCCCCAGGTTATTTGTCGCAGGGTCTTCCGGGGCTTCCGGTCTGCCGAGTTCCTGTTCAGCATCTGGGTAGCATGGACTGTCTTACCCCTGTCAAGCCCATCTAGATAGGCCGGGCGCGGTGGCTCACGCCTGTAATCCCAGCACTTTGGGAGGCCGAGGCGGGCGGATCACAAGGTCAGGAGATAGAGACCATCCTGGCTAACACAGTGAAAACCCGTCTCTACCAAAAATACAAAAAAAAAAAAAAAAAAAAAAAAATTAGCCGGGCATGGTGGCATATGCCTGTAGTCCCAGCTACTCGGGAGGCTGAGGCAGGAGAATCACTTGAACCTGGGAGGCGGAGCTTGCAGTGAGCCGAGATCGTGCTATTGGACTCCAGCCTGGGCGACAGAGTGAGACTCCGTCTCAAAAAAAAAAAAAAAAAAAGGCTCATCTAGATTCCTTAGAATCTAGGCTTAAGCGATAAGGCCCTGGGTTCCCTCGCTCTCCTAAGAGCCACCTTGCTAGTCATTTCCTGCCCCAAGATGATTAATGCTGAGAACATCCTCTGCCCTAAGGGAAGACCGACCTTTGCTCCCAGGCCTTAGCCTTGGTACCAGCAGGACAGCACGCACAACGGAGTTCAGGAGTCCCACATCAGTCCCTGAAAGTAACAGGAAGCATCATTTCTTTCTCAGTGTGGAGGAAGGAAGGTCACCTAACCAAGACAGGAGGGGCAGAGGAAGGGGCAGGAAACAGATCTGGGGTATAAGACCCAGAAACACAGCAGTGGTTGTAGATAAGGCCAGGATCAGTGCCATTGTCTGATTTCACATCCTCTCCCTTCCCCTATATTTACACTCATGCACTGCGTAACAATGTTTCAGTGAACAAGGGCCCGCATACATGGCAGTGGTCCCATAAGATAATAATACTGTATTTTAGGTTTCGATACACAAATACTTACTTGTGTTAAAACTGCCTGTAGTATTCAGTATAGTCACATGCTGTCCAGGTTTGTAGCCTAGGAGCAATGGGCTATACCCTATACCCCAGGTGTGCTGTGGACTCTACCATCCATGCGATATTTGTACAGTGAAATTGCCTAATTTTACGTCTTTCAGAATGTATCCCTGTCGTTAACCAGCACATGACTATATTTTTAAATCAAAGTGAACTTAAAATGGGGATTCACTTCCATTTTTTTGGTAAGGATTTTTTTTTTTTTTTTTTTTGAGATGGAGTCTGGCTCTGTCACCCAGGCTGGAGTGCAGTGGCACAATCTCGGCTCACTGCAACCTCTGCCTCCTGGGTTCAAGCGATCCCCTGCCTCAGCCTCCCATGTAGGTGGAATTACAGGCACCCGCCACCATGCCTGGCTAATTTTTGCATTTTTAGTAGAGACAGGGTTTTGCCATGTTGACCAGGCTGGTCTCGAACTCCTGACCTCAGGTGATCTACCCACCTCAGCCTCCCAAAGTGCTGGGATTACAGGCATGAGCCACCACACCCAGCCTTTGGTAAGAATTTCTCCAACATTTCTGAGGTCAGTGAAAATGCCCTAATTGTGTTGCAAAACTAGATTTGACTGTCATCGGGTTTGCCTGGAAGCAAGACTGCCCTGCCTTCACAATCTGGAATTCTCTTTACTCCTCTTTTTAATCCTCACACTGAATTCCCAGCTGATTACAAAATTATCTTCCTTCAGGAAAAAGAAATCAAAAGCTTTTCTGCTTTCTACCCAAAAGTACCGCTGAAATGTAAAGGGCTGGTGAATCAGGTAGCCTAAGAAAAATACACCTTTCCTGTCTGATGCTCAGCAATGCCCCAAGCTTCAGGACTCTACTGACATCATTATCACTTCTTTTTTTTTTTTTTTTTTTTTTTTTTTGAGGCAGAATCTTGCTTTTTTGCCCAGGCTGGAGTACAGTAGCACACTTTTGGCTCACTGCAACCTCCGCCTTCCAGGCTCAAGCAATTCTCCTGCCTCAGCCTCCTGAGTAGCTGGGATTACAGGTGCCCACCATCACGCCCAGCTAATTTTTGTATTTTTATTAGAGATGGGGTTTCACCATGTTGGCCAAGCTGGTTTTGAACTCCTGTCCTCAAATGATCTGCCTGCCTCAGCCTCCCAAAGTGCTGGGATTACAGGTGTGAGCCACCATGCCCGGCCATAGACATCATTATCACTTCTACTAATACTTCAGAGGAAATACTGATCAGGTTCCTATTTAGCTTCCTTCAATGGACCCTTGTCCTTTGGGTGGATTCAGAGACCCCCAGATATGCCCACTCCCCATCTCCTGTCACTATTCTTCTTGGCCCACAGCCTGCATTCGGGGGGGTGTTCAGCCTCCTGGGGTGGCCGGAAGAACAGGCAGCCAAAGTCGAGGCCATCCCTGGAGAGTTAATAAAGCCAGATAGAATTCTATCCTTGGGAAGGTGGCTAGGCCATGTCATTGCACAATCAGTACGATGTCTTATCTGCAAATAGTGTCCAGCTGTCTACAAATTTTTGCCCCAGTTGTTTCAGAGTGAAAAAGCATCTGCCTTAAGCCACATGCCCTGTATCCTTTCCCAATAGCTGCCCCTTGGCAATGTGTTGTCCCATATTCACATCCCACCTGCCCTAGGACTTCCAGCCCATTGCATTCTTCATCCTCCCAGGGCCAAGTGTGCTAACCATCCTTGCCTTCCTGTGTGACACACTATGGGCAAGTGGTGACGAAGGAATGAAGAGAGCAGGTCCTATAGCAAGTTGCCCACAAATGAAAAATCTTCATACTGTATTAATCTTTAAAAGTAGATTATAAAGCATTATATATGATCTCATTTGTTAAAGAAAGAGCCATTAAATTTTAAAGAAAAAGTGAATATGATTCCTGATACAGGTCAAAGCACTAATCCAAGTTCTAAATGACTCACGAGTAGTAAGATAACTCCACTAAAATAACAGTGAAATCATTTAAAGGGTTTAAAATGATAATGACAATGAGGGCAGAAGAAGAGACAATAGAGGACAATAGACATAAATGGAAACTGGAAAGGGAGCAATAACAGACTTAGCTGAATGCAACCTGTGCATCTGCAAAGAATACAAGATGAGAAGCACATTGCTGAACCCCACACACTCTCCCACTCTTAATGTTTCCCAGAGCCTTAGAAATCGGAAGCACCAGGTGATCTGGAGGTCTGGGGGTGTGGGGGATCATTTGAAAATTTACCAAAATAACAGTTAGACACTGCTCTGGTTGGAATGTTTATGTATCTTGTTAGGTGCATATATGTTCATGATGATTATGTCTTCTTGCCCTTTCTAGTCTTTTTGACAGCATATAAGAGGAGTCTTATATACTGTTCCTTATTCTGTTGAGTATTAAAATTGCTTCCCAAGTTTAAAGCATGATGTCTTTGGTTACTTGCACTAGACACATTTGAGATGGTATGTACTTCTTTTTCGTTTTGTTTTGTTGTTGAAATAGGGTCTCACTTGGCCACCCAGGCTGGAGTGCAGTGGCATAATGACAGCTCACTGCAGCCTTGGCCTCTCAGGCTCAGGTGGTCCTCCCACAGCCTCCCAAGTAGCTGGGACTATAGGCAGGTGCCACCGTGCCTGGCTATTTTTTGTATATTTTTTTTTGTAGAGATGGGGTTTCACCATGTTGCCCAGGCTGGTCTTGAACTCCTGGGCTCAAGTTATCTGCCTGCCTTGGCCTCTCAAAGACTGGGATTACAGGCATGGGTAAATACCATGGTTTCCAAATACCATTCTTCAGTAAAAGAAAACAGAGCACTTTGGAGAAGTAGTTGAGGCAAAGAAAACACAAGATGAGCCTGGAGGCATACTGTGGTGCCAGAAAGTAAGGAAGTGCTGAGAAAAAAAGAACAGGAATAGAACCATGTCAAAATCCAACCCGAAAGAATTCCCAGCGACCAAAGCTGGAACAAATTAAACAACAAAACAAATTTTTTAAAGTATAATAATATAGAATTGGCCAGGTACAGAGGCTCACGCCTATAATTCCAGCGCTTTGGGAGGCCAAGGTGGGTGGATCACTTGAGGCCAGGAGTTTGAGACCAGCCTGGCCAACACGGTGAAACCCCATCTCTACTAAAAATACAAAAATTACCCAGGCATGGTGGTGGGTGCCTGCAGTCCCAGCTACTTGGGAGGCTGAGACAGGAGGATCACTTGAGCCCAGGAGGCGGAGGTTGCAGTGGGCCAAGATCACGCCATGGCACTTCAGCCTGGGTGACAGAGTGAGATCTTGTCTCAAAAAAATAATAATAATAACATAGAATTATAATCCAAAGAATGAAATCAATATTCACAAGACCATATTGATTTAAATAAATACATGGGGAAAAAGAGGCAGCCCTTTATTACAGAAGAATATAAATAAGTAAAGATAGAAATAAGGAAACTAGAAAATCACCATTAAAATACCACATGGACTAAGGATAATTACTATGGAACAAAGAATTATAATTCCCCAAAGGAAAGGATTGTCCACTATAACATTTATGCTTTCCCAAGGCAATATATTTTTGTTATTGTGTCAGTCGGGGTCTAAGTGTCAATGGGGGTCTCAGCAGGCAACAGATGTTACCTTCACAGTATTATATTAAAGGGAGCTTAATAAGGGACTATGTACAGAGAGGTGGGCAGGATTAAGGGAACCCATAAGGGAAGGTAAAACATCCAGACCCGTGGGTCTGAAAGGTCAAGGTGAGGGAACCTGGAACCCAGAAAGAGCTGGAGCTCTAGAAGCTGGAGCTCATTGGCATCTAACAGAAGCAGATGAGGTGCATTGAAGAGAAATGAACCCACTGCCAAAATTTCAGCAATACAAGCAGGGAATGGGAAAAATGAGTACCCCACATCTCTCCCCCCGCCCCCTGATCTGTTGATACCTCTCGTTGCTCAAACCCAAGACAAAGAGACAGAGGAACCCACTGATACAGTCCACAGAGGTCAGCCTCTGGGATACAGAGCAGGGCGAGAAGCGTAGAGAATGATTTCAGAGGGACAAATGGAAAATACGTTCACATGAATCGGGGGAAACAACCATGAATTTTAATTTTACGTATAGTGCTTACGTAAATCGGAGAAAAAAATTTAATTTTAATTCCTGTCACATAGGAAAAAAAATTTGACTTGGTGAAACCCACAATTGTCCTGATGGTCTCTATATTTCACTTTTGGGACAGCAGCATTTCAAAAAAAAAATTATTGCAAGGATTTTTAAATCATATTATTTCCTAGGTTTTTTCTTGTACATCAACCATACTGCACAATGAGAACTGATATTGGCATAGGCATAGATGATTACGGAATCCTCTGCAGCTAAGAGAAAAGTATGCTCTTCTTCATTCATGCAGGAAATGGACTAAAAACACATTAAACATTTTGACAATGAAGATCAGAAGAGAATAGCTTTTTATATTTACTCACAGTAAACCAAAAAAAATTAAAACTTTAAAACAATTTCTTGAGCAGAAATTTTTTTTTGTTTAGTTTTAGACACAGGGTCTTGCTCTATCACCCAGGCTGGAGTGCAGTGACTCAATCATAGCTCAGCACACCCTTGAACCCCCGGGCTGAAGCCATCCTCCTGCCGCAAACTGTCAAAGCGCTGGGATTCCAGGCGTGAGCCACTGCACTCATCTGAGCAGAAGTTTACTATCTTTATCATATCAAGTTATCCTCACCCTTTATCTCATGATACTATCCCCATTTACTATCCCCAGCATCCTCTGATCCTGATAGGGTAGCAGAGAAAGAAAGTCATTTGTAGAGGAAACTGAAGCAATGGCCGACTTCGTACCCTATGGACAGTAGCAAGCTAAATCCAGAAGGGAATAAAGAATGTTTTTGAGATTCCTCAATAGATTGCCATCTGCTGACTAATCACATTTCTGTATAAGCTTGTTTCTCTGACTGTGCCTCTGAATGATAAAACAAGCATGTTTGGGGCCATGAGGACGCATTTCAAAGAGTAGCGGGCTCTAACTCAGAAGTCTCATATTCTAGTCCCAACCCTGTCACCGTGGAGCTGTGTGACCTTGGACAAATCATGGCTCTGTCTTGGCTTCCATTTCTTCCAATGGAAAATAAAAGTCCAGGTCTACACTCCTGCTCTCAGGCCACTCTGGGAGGGTTTCTCTGTTAGATATCAGAGAGTTACGTATATTATTAAATAACCTGTAATTAACAAAATGATATCCAGATATTTGGTGTGCAAACACTGCCCTCAATTGCTGTGATCCATGAGAAACTTGAGGAATTTGGATGTGTGTAGATCATCAGATGCTTAAGAAAGGCTTCAGAGTGACCAATGGACCATGCTGTGCATGGAGAGTCACGGAAGGGTGCATTGTCAGGGATGGTTCTCGGTTTGTCCAGGAGCTTCCCCTCCGGGAAGCTTTGCCTTCAGAGGCTCCTATTTCCCTTGCCTAGGAAGAGGCTGCCAACTGCTCTGTCGACTTCCCTAAGACCAGTTCATTCCACCCTCAATATTTGAGCCCAGAGTGCAGCAACAGAAGCCCTCTTGCTTCTTTGCCTCTCAATAGCCTTGGCTTTCTCTCCTTTGGCCTGAATTAATCGTACTAACCAGAAGCATATTTAGGGGCCTTTAAGACTCAAGCAGCCTTAGGCCAGCTAACAGACACAGGCTGTCAGTGGATGCAACCAGCACCTATTAGATTTTCTCCCAGTTCCCATTTCTGTGTTCAAACACCCTTCTATTCACTGCCTTCCTAAAAGCGATTTTCTCTGGATATTGGAGGATGACTGTATCAGTTTCCTAACCACCAGTTATGTTGGTTATGATAGCAAAAGAAAGAGAACTCAAGACAAAATTGTTTCATCAAAATAAGGAATTTGTTGGCTCACCTGAGGGAGTGTAAAACCAACTTTGGGCAAGATTATAGATGGGGCTGAAGGATTTTTCCAGATTTTAGAGGCATGAACACTGTTGCCAAATCTCCTAAGAGAAACATTTATTTAATATAGCTCTGAAGGGTTAAGCTTCTTGGAGCAGGTGACATCTAGATGGAATCCTGAAAGATGAGTAGGATAAATTGTACGAGAAAAGAGGGAATTGGGCGACAGAAGTATATTAGTCTGTTCTCACATTGTAGATAATGACATACCCGAAACTGGGTAATTTACAAAGAAAAAGAGGTTTAATGAACTCACAGTTCCACGTGGTTGGGGAGGCCTCACAAACATGGCAGAAAGTGAAAGGCACGTCTTACATGGCAGCAGGCAAGAGAGAGAATGGGGACCAAGCGAAAGGGGTTTCCCCTTAGAGAACCATCAGATCTCGTGAGACTTATGCACTGTCAAGAGAACAGTATGGGGAAAACTGCCCCCAAGATTCAATTATCTCCCATCGGGTCCTTCCCACAACACATGGGAATTATGGGAGCTACAATTCAAGGTGAGATTTGGGTGGGGGCACAGCAAAACCATATCAAGAAAGAAAGACATTCCAGATAGAAAGGGAAGCACGAGATGAGGCCTGGAAGCAAGAGAAAGCAAAGTTCCCTTGGGACATGGCCAGCCTTTCATATGGCCGAAAGGTAGGAGAGATGAGAAATGGAACTCACAGAAGTCAGCTGCAGGTAGATGAAGGTGGTTCTTCTTCACCACGCTGAAAATATAAGCTTTGTCCTGAGGGTTCTTAGGCGGCACTGGATGAATAACGACAGCGCCTCAAATAAAAGGTGCTGTGAAAGCTGAACCCAACATTATATGAAATGAAGAATGGCCAGCCCTATCATCTGCTCCTGATGGGTGCAGAGGTTTAGGGTTAGGTAGATATATAGGCAGCTAGTTCTGAAGAACTGCTTTCCTCAGACACTTCCCAGTTGACTGTGATATAGGATTTACTAAATCCTAGACAGCAACAAGTAGAATATTTTAAAATTGCTATAATCAAAGGAATAGTAATAAACAAGAGGCTTCGGTCTGTGTCAAACAAGAATCTCCAGGCAAAGAGTTGAAATCAATTACATGAGTTCAAACACAAAAAAAGAAAGAAACTGTTAGGTAACCATAGTATGCATCCAAACTGTGACTGGTCTTTTAAAATATGATTTTATTAAGTTACAGTTCAGCTGGGCACAGCGGCTTGCACCTGTAATCCCAGCACTTTGTGAGGCCAAGTTAGAAAGATTGCCCAGAAGTTCGAGACCAGGGAATGATAGGAAAATCCTATCTTTACCAAAAGTAAAAAAAAAAAAAAGATTGCCAGGAGTGGTAGTATGTGCCTGTAGCTCTACCAGCTACTCTAGGAGGCTGAGGTGGGAGGATTGCTTGAGCCCAGGAGGTCAAGGCTGCAGTAAGACAAGATTGCACCTGCACTCCATCCTAGGTGACAGAGTAAGACCCTGTCTCAAAAAAAAAAAAAATTACAATTTACATACAACTAAAATTTTCCAATTTGAAGTGTTTGTTTTGAGTTGTGATAAATGACGGAAATCACATCGCCACCACCCCAATTGAGATACAAAATGTTATCATCATCGTCAAAACTTCCCTTATGCCTCTTGTCAGCTAATCTCCTAATCCCATGCCTTGGCTCTGGCAACCACTGATCTTTCTGTAGATATAGTCTTGCCTTTTCTACAATTCCATAACAATGGAATCATGTAATATATAGTCTTCTGTGCCTAGCTTTTCATTTAGCTTTTGAGATTCATCATGTTGTTTGATCAGTGGTTTTCTTTCTTTTTATCGGTCAGTAGGATTCCATTGTTTAGGTACGCTACAATTTGTTTACCTGTTCACCAGATAATAGCATTTTAGTTGTTTTTCCTCATGGATGTCTAATTCTTCTAGCATCATTTGTTGGAAAGACTATTCTTTCTCCTTTGAATTCTGTTGGCATTTTTGTGAAAAATCAATTGACCACGCGTGTTTGAGTCTCTTTCTGGACTCATCTCTGTTCCGTTGATCTGTGTGTCTAAATTTATGCCAATACCACACTGTCTTGATGACTGTAGCTTTAAAATAAGTCTTGAAATGAGGTAGTGAGAGTCCTCCCACTTTGTTCTTTATTTTCAACATTATTTTGTCCACTCTAGGTCCTTTACAATTACATACAAATGTACAATCAGCCTGTCAATTTCTACCAAAAACATTCTCCCAGGATTTTGATTGGAATTTGCTTTGTAATTATTTTATGAGATGGTCAGTCACAAGAGGAGAGCCAGGCAAAGCTTAGCAAAACAATGTTTATTATGTTCACAGGTCCTGGAGACAGGAGGCTATACAGGGCCACTTGGGAAAGACACCAGAGTGATCAGGCACAAAACACAGGAGCCAGGGGAAAGTTGAGGCCACTGCTGTTAGTAGGGCTTCCCCAGGAAAGGCAAGACATGGCAGGGTGCACTGTTTAGGGTTGGCTAGTTTGATGAATTTGAGCAGCTTTGGGCTGCAGGAGTGGTCTCTAGCTGCCTGGTCCCTGGACCCAGGATGATCAAGGTAGAGGAATATTGTTTCCTGGGTATATGGTCTAAATAAAAGAAGTGTGGCTCTGGGTTAATTAGTTTGCATATCAAAAGTGTGCTCCTAGCCAGGCGTGGTGGCTCACATCCATAATCCCAGCATTTTTGGAAGCCAAGGTGGGCGGATCACTTGAGGCCAGGAGTTTGAGACCAGCCTGGCCAACATGGTGAGACCCTGTCTGTACTAAAAATACAAAAATTAGCCGGCATGGTGGTGTACATCTGTAATCCCAGCTACTCAGGAGGCTGATGAGGCACGAGAATTGCTTGAACCAGGAAGGCAGAGGCTGCAGTGAGCCAAGATCATGCCACTGCACTCCAGCCTGGGTAATAGAGTGAGACTCCGTCTCAAAAAAAAAAAGTGCTGCTAACTGAGCCTTTTGATATTTTTTAAGAATTGGCTGGCCCTGAGGGAGTCAGTCTTTCCCTTGCCTGAACCTTTTTTAAAATATGTCATGACATCATAACATACAGAAAATTTAAAAATATTTACAATACAGAATTTCACTGAATCTGTAGATAGATTTGGGGGGTTTAGTAGGCTAGCTAAATAATGGCCCCAAAGTCTCATGTCTTTATCCCTGGAATCTCCAAATGTGACCTTCTATGGCAAAGACTTTGCAGGTATGATTATGTTAAAGATCCTGAGATGGGGGATTATCCCGCATTATCCAAGTGGGCCCTAAAGGCAACTACACGTATCTTTGCAACAGGGAGGCAAACCTTTCACCAAAACCTTTCACCTGTACTGTTCCATCTCCTCAAACATGTGACTCTCTCAGCCGGGTGCTGTGGCTCACGCCTGTAATACCGGCACTTTGGGAAGCCGAGGCGGGTGGATTACCTGAGGTCAGGAGTTCGAGACCAGCCTGACCAACATAGAGAAACCCTGTCTCTACTAAAAATACAAAATTAGCCAGGAATGGTGGTGCATGCCTGTAATCCCAGCTACTTGGGAGGCTGAGGCAAGAGAATCGCTTGAACCCGGGAGGTGGAGGTTGCAGTGAGCTGAGATCACACTATTGCACTCCAGCCTGGGCAACAAGAGGGAAACTCCATCTCAAAAAAACAAACAAAAAATAAATGTGATTCTCTCAATTATCTGCTGACTGCTGATACGCCTCCTGCTCTTCACTCACTCTCTACGGCCATTTTCTATCACCATTTAAAACTGCTTGTCAGTGGCCGGGCGCGGTGGCTCAAGCCTGTAATCCCAGCACTTTGGGAGGCCGAGGTGGGCGGATCACGAGGTCAGGAGATCGAGACCATCCCGGCTAAAATGGTGAAACCCCGTCTCTACTAAAAATACAAAAAATTAGCCGGGCGTAGTGGCGGGCCCCTGTAGTCCCAGCTACTTGGGAGGCTGAGGCAGGAGAATGGCGTGAACCCGGGAGGCGGAGCTTGCAGTGAGCCGAGATCCCGCCACTGCACTCCTGCCTGGGCAACAGAGCGAGACTCCGTCTCAAAAAAAAAAAAAAAACTGCTTGTCATCCCCATGAATGAATAAATTCAAAATCTTACTCTTTATTTTCTTAGTAGTAATGTACCTTTTTCTAAATTTGTCTCGGGTATCCAGGATTTAAATATATCTTTGTGTTTGAAACAAGGAGAAGGAAATAAAGGGCATTCAATTAGGAAAAGAGGAAGTCAAATTGTCCCTGTTTGCAGGTGACATGATTGTATATCTAGAAAACCCCATCATCTCAGCCCAAAATCTCCTTAAGCTGATAAGCAACTTCAGCAAAGTCTCAGGATAATAAATCAATGTGCAAAAATCACAAGCATTCTTATACACAAATAACAGACAAACAGAGAGCCAAATCATGAGTGAACTCCCATTCACAATTGCTTCAAAGAGAATAAAATACCTAGGAATCCAACTTAAAAGGGATGTGAAGGACCTCTTCAAGGAGAACTACAAACCACTGCTCAAGGAAATAAAAGAGGATACAAAGAAATGGAAGAACATTCCATGCTCATGGGTAGGAAGAATCAATATCGTGAAAATGGCCATACTGCCCAAGGTAATTTATAGATTCAATGCCATCCCCATCAAGCTACCAATGACTTTCTTCACAAAATTGGAAAAAACTACTTTAAAGTTCATATGGAACCAAAAAAGAGCCCGCATCGCCAAGTCAATCCTAAGCCAAAAGAACAAAGCTGGAGGCATCACACTACCTGACTTCAAACTATACTATGAGGCTACAGTAACCAAAACGGCATGGTACTGGTACCAAAACAGAGATATAGACCAATGGAACAGAACAGAGCCCTCAGAAATAATGCCGCATATCTACAACTATCTGATCTTTGACAAACCTGACAAAAACAAGCAATGGGGAAAGGATTCCCTATTTAATAAATGGTGCTGGGAAAACTGGCTAGCCATATGTAGAAAGCTGAAACTGGATCCCTTCATTACACCTTATACAAAAATTAATTCAAGATGGATTAAAGACTTAAATGTTAGACCTAAAACCATAAAAACCCTAGAAGAAAACTTAGGCAATACCATTCAGGACATAGGCATGGGCAAAGACTTCATGTCTAAAACACCAAAAGCAATGGCAACAAAAGCTAAAATTGACAAATGGGATCTAATTAAACTGAAGAGCTTCTGCACAGCAAAAGAAACCACCATCAGAGTGAACAGGCAACCTACAGAATGGGAGAAAATTTTTGCAATCTACTCATCTGACAAAGGGCTAATATCCAGAATCTACAATGAACTCAAACAAATTTAAAAGAAAAAAACAAACAAACCCATCAAAAAGTGGGTGGAGGATATGAACAGACACTTTTCAAAAGAAGACATTTATGCAGCCAAAAAACACATGAAAAAATGCTCATCATCACTGGCCATCAGAGAAATGCAAATCAAAACCACAATGAGATACCATCTCACACCAGTTAGAATGGCAGTCATTAAAAAGTCAGGAAACAACAGGTGCTGGAGAGGATGTGGAGAAATAGGAACACTTTTACACTGTTGGTGGGACTGTAAACCAGTTCAACGATTGTGGAAGTTGGTGTGGCGATTCCTCAGGGATCTAGAACTAGAAATACCATTTGACCCAGCCATCCCATTACTGAGTATATACCCAAAGGATTGTAAATCATGCTGCTATAAAGACACACACACACGTATGTTTATAGCAGCACTATTCACAATAGCAAAGACTTGGAACCAACCCAAATGTCCAACAATGATAGACTGGATTAAGAAAATGTGGCACATATACACCATGGAATACTATGCAGCCATAAAAAAGGATGAGTTCATGTCCTTTGTAGGGACATGGATGAAGCTGGAAACCATCATTCTCAGCAAACTATCGCAAGGACAAAAAACCAAACACCACATGTTCTCACTCATAGGTGGGAATTGAACAATGAGAACACATGGACACAGGAAGGGGTACATCACACACCGGGGACTGTTGTGGGGTGGGGGAGGGGGGAGGGATAGCATTAGGAGATATACATAATGCTAAATGACGAGTTAATGGGTGCAGCACATAAACATGGCACATGTATACATATGTAACAAACCTGCACGTTGCGCACATGTACCCTAAAACTTAAAGTATAATAATAATAAAAACAAAAAAAAAAGAAAATGACAAAGTGCTCCATTGGTTTACCCTTTTTGGATCTTGGTCCACATCTCAGTCAGGTTACCTATTTACCTTCACTCACACATTAGCAGACCTAGTTTCAGATGTTACCCATTGTGACCAAGGTCATAAGGAAGTCTATGCGCTTGAAACTATCATCAAGAGAGGAAAGGAAAATATAATCAAAGGAAGGCTAGCAAATCCCAACTTTCATACTCCAAATATGCAAATAAACTCTTTAGCAGATAATGTGAATAAAAATCAATAACTATTCACTCTATTTTCTGTTCCTAAAATATTAAAATTAACCTAATTTTAAATATATATTTTTTAGAGATTTATTATGTGTTTATTTATTTTCATTTTTACATACAATATGACCATCTTCCAAACCAGGAAGAGAGCCCTTACCAGACACCAGATCTGCCAGCACCGTGATCTTGGACCACCAGCCTCCAGAACTATGAAAACTAAAGTTTGTCATTAAGTCACCCAGTCAATAGCGTTCTGTTACAGCAGCCCGAACTAAGACAGGACATGAAGAGAAAATTCTGAAATATTTGAAACCAAGACATTTCAGACATAAGATAAGCTACTAAAGTTCCCTTAAACTGTGTCTATTCCTTTGTGATGTCATGTTGCTTAAGACGATAACAGGATGACAGCTAAAAATAAAACCATGAACATCCCCCATCCAACTATAATAGTAACTTAATTTTCTTTTTTTTCTTTTTTTCTTTTGAGATGGAGTCTCACTCCATCCCTCAGGCTGGAATGCAGTGGTGCGATTTCAGTTTACTGCAACCTCTGCCTTCCGGGTTCAAGTGATTCTCCTGCCTCAGCCTCCCAAGTAGCTGGGACTACGGGAGCATGCCACCACGCCTGGCTGATTTTTGTATTTTTGGTAGAGATGGAGTTTCACCATGTTGGCCAGGCTGGTCTCGAACTCCTGACCTCAGGTGATCCACCCGCCTTGGCCTCCCAAAGTGCTAGGATTACAGGCATGAACCACCGCTCCTGGCCCCACTTTCTTAAGTATTAGATATATCTAGTAAATTTACAAGTTATTTATTATATACTTAATCATACACAATCTTGGAAAATGGATATTAAAAATGTTAAAGGCGGAGCCCAGTGGCTCATGCCTGTAATCCCAGCACTTTGGGAGGCCAAGGTGGGCGGATCGCTTAAGCCCAGGCGTTCAAGACCAATCTGGGTAACATGGCAAAACCCTGTCTTTACAAAAAAATACAGAAACTTAGCCAGCCATGCTGGCATGCACCTGTGGTCCCAGCTACTCAGGAGGCTGAGGTGGGAGGATCACTTGAGCCTGAGAGGTCAAGGCTGCAGAGAGCTGAGATCACACCACTGCACTCCAGCCTGGGTGACAGAGTGAGACCTTGTCTCAAAAAAAACCTATAATTCCACCATCCTAGGAGTAACATAATTTCTAGTCTATAACAGAGTACTATAGATACAATTTAGTAATCCTATTTTCCTTGCTTATTATAGTGTATTTTATGCTTCCACAAGGTCCTCAAATCACTGTGTTCAGTGGCTGCCTGGTGTGTGTTGTACAGCTACTCTCTGCTTTTCACTAGAACAGAGAAAGAGTTTTCATGAATACAGCCTTTTCCCTATAGGAGAAAGATAATCTTTATGATTTCTCTTTCCCCTCTATTTTAGATTATTCCATCAAGATACCAGCACAAAGAAGATAAAACTTTTCAAGTTTCTTAAAATTGCCAAATCTTCTCCTGAAAGAGTAAATCTTATCTCTCGTCAACAGTAGTCATTGGACTTACCAGATAAAAAAGAAGCACTAAGTAGAGGCTGCAATACAAGAGTCCGTTAGCCAATAATGCTTTTTTAAAAATGTGACTCAAATTCACAATTTTTGTGGATTGGAATTTTGTTAAAATGTCCATATAATCCAAAGCAATCTGCAGACTCAATACAATCCCCATCAAAATCCCTCAGGCATTTTTTTTTAAAATAGAAAAACAAATCCTAAAATTTATCTGGAACCACAACATATCCCAATATTGTGGAATAAAACAAAGCTGGAAGCATCGTACTTTCTACAAAATGTAATACCAAGATGTGGTAATTAAGACACTGTGATACTGGCATAAAGATAGACACGTAGGCCGGGCGTGGTGGCTCATGCCTGTAATCCTAGCACTTCGGGAGGCTGAGGCGGGCAGATCACCCAAGGTCAGGAGTTCGAGACCAGCCTGATTAATATGGTGAAACCCCGTCTCTACTAAATATACAAAAAATTAGCTGGGTGTGGTGGCATGAACCTGTAGTCCCAGCTACTCAGGAGGCTGACACAGGAGAATTGCTTAAATCCAGGAGGCAGAGGTTGCAGTGAGCTGAGATTGTGCCACTGCACTCCAGCCTGGACAGCAGAGCAAGACTTCATCTCAAAAAAAAAAAAAAAGATAGACACATAGACCAATGGAACAGAATAGAGAGCCCAGAAATAAGCCCACACATCTGTGGTCAACTGATCTTCAACAAGAGTGCCATGAATACACAACGGGAAAATGACAAGTCTCTTCCACAGACAGTATTGGGAAAACCAAATATCCAGATGTAAAAGAATGAAAATGGACTCATGCCACACATGAAAATCAGCTCAAACTGTTTTAAACATTTAAATGTAAGACCCGAAACTGTAAAACTCCTGGAAGAAAACACAGGACGAAAGCTTCTTGACATGGGTCTTAGCAATGATTTCTTGGATGTGATACCAAAATCACAGGGAACAAAAGCAAAAATAGACACGTGGGATTACATCAAACTAAAATATTTCTGCACAGCAAAGGAAACAATCAACAAAATAAAAAGGCAACCCACAGAATGGGGAATATATTTGCAAACCATCTATGTGATAAGGGGTTAATATCCAAAATATATAAAGAACTCCTAAAACTCAATCGCAAAAATAAATTAATGGGAAAAGGATTTAAATAGCCACTTCCCCAAAGAAGACATATGCATGGCCAACAGGTATATGAAAACGTGTTCAACATAACTAATCATCAGGCAAATGCAAATCAAAACCACAATGAGATATCACTTCACACCTGTTAGGATGGCTATTGTAAAAAAGACAAAAGACAAGTGTTGTCAAGGATGCAGAGAAAAGGGAACCCTCACACACTCTTGGGAATGTAAAATGGGGCAGCTACTATTTAAAAAGTCGGTGGTTCCTCAGAAAATTAAAAATAGAACTACCATATGATCCTGTAATCCCATTTCTGGGTATATAAACAAAAGAACTGAAATCAGGATGTTGAAGAGATCTCCACACTTCTGTGTTCGCTGAAGCATTATTCACAAAAGCCAAGATATGGAAACAACATAAATGTCCATCATTGAATGAATGGGCAAAGCCGATGTGGTATATACATACAATGGGAAATTACTCAGCTTTTTAAAAGAAGGAAATCCTGCCAGATGTGACGACATGGGCAAACCTGGAGGACATTATGTTTAGTGAAATAAGCCAGTCACAGAAGGACAAATACTCTGTGATTCCACTTACATGGGGGTATTTAAAAGATTATCACAGAAGCAGAGGGTAGAAAAGTGGTTGCTGGAGACTGGGGAGAGAGGGAAATGGAGAATCGTCGTTTAGTGGGTATAACATTTCAGTTATGTATTTTATTTAAAACAAAACATTTATTAGGTTTTTAATTTGGAGAGATTAAAAAGGAAAAATAAGCAAAACTGGCTCTTCATTTACATGCTCAGATTACTGTTGTCAACATGTTTTAATGAAAGCAATAGATGTACTCAGAAAATGGAACTGCATAGGAAACAAGGCCACATAAAAAGTAAAAACCTCCATATTCTTCAATCTTTCTCCCTGAAACTATTTACAGCTCAAATTTTAGTTTAAAATATAAAATCTATCATTCCTGTGAGGCAAAGGGGAGAACTTGAAGCTCACAGAAGAATATAAAGCAAAGGGCTTCTTGCCTACATTTTAGAAAATAATATGTCTTTAGATAAGATATTATTATCCCATAGTATAGAAAATTGTGGCCAGGCACAGTGGGTCATGCCTATAATCCCAGCACTTTGGGAGGCCAAGGTGGGAAGATTGCTTCAGACCAGGAGTTCGAGACCAGCCTGGGCAATATAGTGAGACCCTGTCTACATAAAATTTTAAAAAAATTAGCTGGAAGTGGTGGTGCCAGCCTGCAGGCCAGGGGAGGCTGAGGCAAGAGGATCCCTTGAGCCTGGGAGGTCAAGGCTATAGTGAGCTATGGTCAAGCCACTGCACTCCAGTCTCTCACAACAAAGCAAGACCCTCTCTCAAAAAAAGAAGAAAAGAAAGAGAGAGGAAAAAAATGGAGAGAGAAAAAATGGAAAAAGAGAGAGAGAGGAAAAAAAGTAAAGAGCTAGAGACAATTCTTTCAAGATATGTTGCTATTAAGGAGAGCAGAGATACGGGGTAATAGTGGGGGTTTGGGGAAGTTTGGGATTTGGGTTTTTGTTTGTGGGAAATAATACAGCATATTTGGTGTTAATGGGAATGTCCAAATGAAGGAAGGAAGTCAAGGATAGAGGAGAAAGAAGGAGGCAGGAATAATGTCCTAGAGGCGGTGAGAAGGAATGAGCATAAGCTGATCATTATCTAACAAGAGACAGAGTCAAGTCTGAGGGACCAATGGCAAGGAGGTTGGTAGGTTTTGTGGGGAAATTGGGAGATGTTCTCTCATAATCAATTCTATTTTCTCAATTGGACTAAAGCTCATCAGCTGAGAGGGAGGACCAGGGGAAGGTGTCATCAGGAAAGGACAGAAGATGTGAAATGGTCACCTCTGAGTACAGAAGAGTTGATTGACTAGAGAAATGATATAAGTCTACCAGAGGTATTGAGGGCTCCTGGAGGTTGATAGCCTCTGGTTAGTATGAAACTGTCTTCGTGCTTTTCTCCAGACACATTCAGCTGCTCAGGAGCAGGGGCAGAGCAGGCCAGAGGTAGTTTTCATCAGAGTTTGCCAGGAGAGTACTGGGCAGGAGCAAAGAATTTGAGATTTATGCAAAGCAGTGATTATAGCACTGCTAATCTTGGTGAGAAGGTAAGTAAGGAAATGGTGTGGGGTGGAGAGGGGTGATAGATTTAAATAAAACAAGTGAGCTACATCTGAATGCTTGTCATAGGACAAAAATCAGAAAACTCTGCAAAGGTGCTGAGATGAAACTTGGTTTTAGTTCCTCCTTGGGCACTTTCCACATGTCCTTTGGTGGCCTCCACTCCATGTAGGCATTAACCCTGATCCAGTATCAACTAATACACAGCAAGACACTCACAGACAAAGCCCAAGGGTCATTATGGGGTTTTTTGTCTCGTTTTAATTTTTTTAGAGACATGCTCTTACTGTGTCTCCCAGGCTGGCATGCAGTGATGAGACCATAGCCCACTGCAGCCTCTAACTTTCAGGCTCAGGTGACCCTCCCACCTCAGCCTCCTGAGCAGCTGGGACACCTTCCCCTGGTCCTCCCTCTCAGCTGATGAGCTTTAGTCCAATTGAGAAAACAGAATTGATTATGAGAGAACATCTCCCACTTTCCCCACAAAACCTACCAACCTCCTTGCCATTGGTCCCTCAGACTTGACTCTGTCTCTTGTTAGGTAGTGATCAGCTTATGCTCATTCCTTCTCACCGCCTCTAGGACATTATTCCTGCCTCCTTCTGAGCGGGCATGCCCCACCACACCTGGCTCTCATCTGTGTTTTCATCAGACACTTTCTTTTTGATGAATAAAACCTTCCAGACACAAAGATCTCAAATCTCTCAAAATGAAATTTTAAATCATTAACAGGCACTAAAGACCAAATTTTGGGCAAAACACCTACCACATATTAACATGTGTATTAAACGAATGAACCTATGAAGATGACAGTACCTGGGCTGGTGAGTCCCAATGGACATGCGTGATGGGAACATCTGTGCATCCTCAGCGGAAATTTTCAGAGATGCAAAATAAACTTGAACTTGGATGCGTATCCTTGCATTGGTTGTGGGGTGAAAATGCTGAGAAAAAGCAGCTAACATTTACACGTAGCCACCACCCCCCAAACTTTTTCTCCTCAGGCACTCATACATGTTTTGTAATCTTTGAGAATACAGAAAATATTTACAAAATGATCAAGCATGTAGTTAATGGACCAGGTGACAAGCTGGGTCAACATCAAAGAAAGGGCAGAGGAATAGGATGTCCATGAGTTAATGTGTGTACGTCTCCTAGAGCTAAGATCTCCCACCCAGAGTTCACACCTACATCCCCCTACATCCTCTGAATCTATTCTAGAGCCATGTTTGCCAGAGAAGTTTCAATGAGTAGCACTGGAATAGGAAAGATTTGTACTGCTGTTTCCCTTGGGGTCTGGGCTCCAGCTAGCTTCCGCAGTAAACGACTAGTTATGATCAAAGAGTGAGGAAACCTGCTCCCTGGCCTTCTGCACCTGGGAAGGAAGAAGGGCCTCCTGTGAGGGAGGAATTGCCCAGAAGTGCCCACCAGGAGGAGTGCATGGTGCACCACCCACACAGTGCACACATGGACCCAGCCTGCCTGCCAAATGTGTTGTGGGGATGTTGCACGGCTGGAGCCAGCCAGCGAGAGGCTCAGGAGAGTCAGGCAATGACATCCAGAGGGAATCCGGTCCTTACTTTGCACAGAAACAGAAGAGAGTGGGAACTCAACAGCATTAAGGATTTATAGCTGATAGGCATAGTAACAAGACTGAAAGAATCTATTCCAAAATGTAAACGACTGTTATCTTGACGTAGGGGGAATACCAGTGATGGCTACTATCTTATTTTTGCTTATCTGGGTTTTCTTTTTTTTTAATAAAAAAATTTTTTTTAGAGACAGAGTCTTGCTCTATCGTGCAGGCCAGGGTACAGTGGCGTGATCATAGCTCACTGCAGTGTTGAACTCCAGGACTAAAACAATCCTCCTGGCTCAAGCCACCATGCCTGGCCAATTTTATTATTTTTTAATTTTTGTAAACACAGGTTACAGCTATGCTACCCAGGCTGATCTCAAACTCCTGGCCTCAAATGATCCTCCCTTCTGGGCCTCCCAAAGCGCTGGAATTACAAGCATGGATTACTAGTGGGCTTTCTACAGTGAATATGTATTATTTTTTTAAAGGGATTGTAGGGGGGAGTAGGAAGTATTATTTAAATATTTCCAACTTCATGCACCAAAGAACATTAGCTTTTAATCTTCACACAATTCTCTAAGGTGGGGAAGCCCACATGACCATTCTTAGTTTGCAAACAAAGAAACTGAGGCCCCAGATGTACATTATTCTGCAGTGGGTGAGAGTTATCCCAAGTGGGTTGATGTCTAGGCAAGCCCCTTTAATATTTCCCTCCCCACCAGCTGGTGCAGCCACACACTGCTTGAAGCCTCTTCCACTCTCTAGCTGAAAGTTGCCGCTCATTACAAACGGATATTTGACTGGAGGGGGTCTGAGACTCAGGATCTATGCCCCAGTCAGCAAGAAGCAGCAGGATGACTTGATCTCTCCCTGCTATGGCCTCTCTTTGAAGAGAAGTATCTTAGTGACTACAGGAGGTTATCTAGTTTGTCCAGGGTTGCATGGCTAGCAGGTGGCACAGCTATCATGTAAATTTGATATTCTGACTGCAGACACATCACACTCCACCACATTGTTTTGAATGAATCTTTGCTATTTTACCATGCCACTTAACCATGAGTAAAACCCCCTTCAGTAAAATAGTCAAGAACCATTGGCTCTTGACCTGCACCGGCCAATGAGTGTCAGAAGCTCTGGGGCTAGGACAACCACAATGAATGTGGGAGATTGGTTGCATCCTAAAGAATGAATCAAGTACATTGAGGATAATGGCAGCCAGCTTTCTCATTGTTGAAGGGAGGTACAAATATGCAGAAGGGAAGACTGGAATAAATTATGTGATGTTGGACTGTCATTGGAGGGCAATAATTGTGAATGCAGCATTTCCAAAATGTGTAGATATGGATAATATATACATGGGTGTACACGTGTGTATATAGTTGTCCTCACTCAGAGGGTCTGGGATCAATGACACTCTTGTAGCACTGACCACCTTTAATGCCTAATATTGGTTTCTAAACACCATTCTCAACTAAAAGATAAGAGCACTCCTTGAGGGGATGGCTGACTCCATGGCTAGGGCAGGGAAAATGCAAGCTAAGCTTGGAATTTCTCGTGGCAGGAAGTTGTTCAAGAATGATGAGGACTGTGAAAAGTCACAGATGTCAGTTTGAAAGGCTGTCACTGGCCAAATCTGGGTCAGTTTGATCTTCAAAGTAAAGAATGCTAGTAATTATGCTGAACTATAATTTATTCAATAAAATAGGAATCTATGACTTCCTACTAATTTAAATAAATAATAAGGGAATGCTGTGCCTTATAGTAGAATGCCAACTAATAATTGTAGAAGGAATGGCAGCATTATATAATTAACCAACCATCTTAATAATTGGTTCCAGTAAGAAGCATCTGTGGATGCCAAAATCAAAGAATGGAGGTTTAATAAACAACCAGATATTTATACAGTCTGAAACTATCTCCCCACAAAACACTTATTAACATCTTAGTGGATACTTATCAACTCTTACCAATACTTAATACTTGTTAAAATCCCTTCACAAAATACTTATTAACTTTTCTGTGGAAGAAACCTGACAGACATCATCTTAACCAAATGATAAAGGTTAACATTACCAGTAATAGGTTAAATGAACATCGTGTGCTGCTTTTATTATTATTATTATTATTTTTTGAGACAGAGTTTTGCTCTTTCGCCCAGGCTGGAGTAAAGTGGCCACGATCTCGGCTCACTGTAACCTCCACCTTCCGGTTTGAAGTGATTCTCCTGCCTCAGCCCCCGAGTAGCTGGGATTACAGGCGCACGCACCACCACGCCCAGCTAATTTTTGTATTTTTAGTAGAGACTGGGTTTCATCATGTTGGCCAGGCTGGTCTCGAACTCCTGACCTCGTGATCCGCCTGCCTTGGCCTCCCAAAGTGCTGGGATTACAGGCATGAGATACCACGCCTGGCCCATCGTGTGCCTTTTGATAATATGCTCTGGGAAGGACACACCATCGTTTCTGTGATAGTCCTGCAATACCCCTGAATCTAATCATGACAAAATGTCAGACAACCTCACATTGAGGACATTCTTCAAAGTAACTGACCTGTGCTTCAAAAATGTCAAAGCCACCAAAGACAAACTGAATAACTTTTCCAGATTGGTGATGCCTAAAGACACATGCTAACTGCATGCAATGCATGACCCTGGATTGGATCTTGGACCTCAAAGACCATTATTAGGATAATCAGTGAAATTTGGCTGGGGGTGGTGGCTCACACCTGTAATTCTAGCACTTTGAGAGGCCGAGGTGGGAGGATCACTTGAGCCCAGGAATTTAAGACCAGCCTAGGCAACACAGTGAGACTCCATCGCTATGAAAATAAAAATAAAAATTTTAATTAAATTTTTTTTAATTAGTGAAATTTGAGTAGGCATCCATGGATTAGGAGATAGTATTGTATCAATGTTAATTTCCTGATTTTGATAGGTGTCTGGTGGCTTTGCAGGGAGTGTCCTTATTTTAAGAAAATACACACTGAGGTGTTTAGAGTTAATGGAGTATCAGGTTTTTTTTGCAACATTGTCTCAAATGGTTGAGGAAAGAAAATGTATACATAGAAAAAGAGCTTGGAAATTAAGAGGGAATGATAATGATTGGTGAATCTGGCGGAGGGTATACAGGACTTCTATGTACTGTTCTTGAAATTGTAAATATTGTGTAAGTTTAAAATGATTTTAAATAAAAGTTACTCAAGGCTGGGTGCGGTGGCTCACGCCTGTAATCCCAGAGCTTCGGGAGGCCAAGGTGGGAGGATTGCTTGCATCCAGGAGTTCCAGACCAGACTGGGCAACATAACGAGAGCCCATCTCTACCAAAAATAAAAAATTAGCCAGGCATGGTGGCATGCCCCTGTAGTACCAGCTACGCAGGAGTTTAAGATGTGAGGATCACTTGAGCCCAGGAGGTTGAGGCTGCAGTGAGCCATGATCATGACACTGCACTCAGCCTGGGTGACAGAGCGAGACTGTCTCAAAAAAAAAAAAAAGTATATGTATGTGTATATATATGTATATATAAAAATCATCATTTCTTGGCCTTTTGGACAAGGTCAAGTGTAGTAAAAATATTAAATCATTAATTCATCATTCTTAGAGGTGTAAAAAAAATCCATTAACTGCAATGATTAGTAAAAGCACTTAAGTGGCCTTTTGTTTTTTCAATATGGTGTTTACTCATGAAGGCCTACATTTAATTAAGGCATTAAATAGGCTTTTAACCAAAGCACATCCATAGATAACCATTGATTTTTCCAAGCAATGTACTGCCCATTTATTCTCCCTCCAGAAGAGAGATATATAACTTAGGGTGTGTACCAATAAGTATAGGTTAGAGGAAAATAAGTGATACTACTGTGCAAACAGGAAAAGAAAATCAATGCTTATGTTTTCTAACCATTTAAACAAGTGAAAAAGAACCCTTCAAAATAGAATAGATTATTACATTCTCATGTATTATATTTGTGCCTAATAGAAAAAGGAAGATAGATGGGAAAATGACTAATAGTCAAACTAGTTTTAAAAAAAAAGTACAACTTGGCTGGGTGCAGTGGCTCATGCCTGTAATCCCAGCACTTTGGGAGGCCGAGGTGGCTTGATCACCTGTCAGGAGTTCAAGATCAGGCTGGCCAACATGGTGAAAACCCATCTCTAGTAAAAATACAAAAATTAGCTGGGTGTGGCGGCAGGTGCCTGTAATCTCAGCAACTCAGGAGGCTGAGATGGGAGAATTGCTTGAACCCAGGAGGCAGAGGTTGTCAGGAGTTGAGATCGTGCCATTGCATTCCAGCCTGGACAAGAGTGAAACTCTGTCTAAAAATAAAAAAATAAAAAAATAAAACAACTCACAAAATGCTTTACTTTAGGTTACTGAGTTGCAAGCGTTTTAATAGGCAGTCTAGAGACATATCCTGATGAGTCAATATCTCAGGTGTTTCCAGAGAACTGATTTATGTGCCTGCAATAAAAAGGTCCATGAAGACATTCATTACTCTTTGTGTTGCTGGACAAACAGTTGACCTAAATTGTCCTGGATCTCACATGATGTAATGACATCGTGGAGATGTGAAAAATTAAAGGATGCTCAGAAATACTAAGTCACCCCAGATAAAAGAGATACCCCTCCACTGATCACAGCTGCCACATATTATGTTCACCTCTTAATATTTTGGGGGTACAAGTAGCTTTGTGTTACATGGGTGAACTGGATAGTGGTGAAGTCTGGGATTTTAGTGTACCATCATCTGAATAGTGTACATTGTACCCAATAAGTGATTTTTTCCATCCCTCTCCAACCCTTTCCTGTGAGTCTCCAATGTCCACTATACCACTCTGTATGCCCCTGGATACCCACACCTTAGCTCCCACTTATAAGGGAGAACATGAGGTATTTGGTTTTTCCTTGCTGAGTTACTTCACTGAGACTAAGGGCCTCTGGCTCCATCCAAGTTGCTGCGAAAGACATTATTTTGTTCTCTTTATGGCTGCAGTTATATTCTTGTGCGTGTGTGTGTGTGCACGTGCGTGCGTGTGTGTATATGCATATATATCTCATTTTATGTATTCACTCATTAGTTGGTGGACACTCAGGTTGATTCTGTATCTTTGCAATTGTTCATTGTTCTGTGATAAACATCTGAATGCAAGTGTCTTTTTAACGTAATGACTTCTTTTCCTTTGGGTGTCTACCCAGTAGTGGGATGCTGGATTAAATTCTTTGAGAAATCTCCATACTGTCTTCCATATAGGTTTTGCTAATTTACGTTCCCCTCAACAGTGTATAAGTGTTCCCTTTTCACCACATATATACCAACATGTATTGTTTTTTGACTTTTTGATAATGGCCATTCTGGCTGGGGTAAGGTAGTATTTCATTGTGGTTTTAACTTACTATATTTACTATTTATTTAATTCCAATCTCCTTAGGTCATTTATATTTTACTGTTTCTTGCAATCCCTTTAAGAACTCAAAGGTGTGAAGTGTGATGGTGTCTGCTTCCCAAAGATCACTTTAAAGTCCTAGCTCCAAATCACCCAAGTGTCACCCCTGAATTTCTCAGTCTACAAGTTACAAAAATTCAACTCAGGAGACCTGAATTGATTTGCTGGCCTCGGTGGACATATTGCTAAAAATGTCACCTCTGCCTCACTTCATCAGCTATGAGATGAGCCAATGCTCATCTTTGCCTTCATGTAGAATGCTGAGAGAATCAATGGGGTCTGTAAAAGAAAAGTACCATTCAGATTCAGCTCATATTACTGAGGTGTCTGCTCCATGCTAGGTACTCTGTTACATATGTTACTTACATTTTTCCATTTAATCCTCACAATAACCTTATTAGGTAGGCATCATTAACTGCATTCTAAGATGAAACACCAAGGGCCAGGAAAGTTGAAGAACTCCACCTCAGTTAGCACAACTACCCACAGGCAAACCTAGAATTCGAATTCCAATTCAGTCCTCTTTCCACCTTATTATTTCCACTTCCATCTTTGTATGTTCAGAATATTATTACAGTAACAAGATTTTCCAATAGAATGAACCTTTAGGGGCTGGGCGCGGTGGCTCACACCTGTAAACGCAGCACTTTGGGAGGCCGAGGTGGCAGATCACTTGAGGTCAGGAGTTCAAGACTAGCCTGGCCAACATGGCAAAACTGTCTCTACTAAAAATACAAAAATTAGCCAGGTGTGGTGGTACGTGCCTGTAATCCAAGTTACTTGGGTGGCTGAGGCAGGAGAATCACTTGAACCCACGAGGCAGAGGTTGCAGTGAGCCAAGATCACACCACTGCACTCCAGCCTGGGTGACAGAGTGAGACCCTGTCTCAGAACAAAAAAAAAAATGAACCTTCAGGAAATTACCAACAAACTCGTAGAGCAAGCAGACTACAGAGGTCATGTTCAAAGTCTGGGTCTGAACCAGACTTTTGAGCACTTACTGCCCAAGGTCAAGGTGCTGTGACACTACAAACTTTCAGGAGAGGCAAAAACATGTAAATATCTGGCAAGGAAATAAGTCCGGATTTCTGTAAGCAACAAGGAATCTCCTATTCATTTAGGATTGCAGAAGAATGGAGATTTATAAGCAAATATTTAGCTGACAGGAGTAGACGTTTAGAAGTGAGGGGAACACCTGGATTTCTGGGATACACACATACATTCTTAGATATTATTATCTAGCAGGTGAGCAAGTTTACTGCCTGCTAGAAATTGCCCAGCCGAAGGTCCCTCAGAATGTATTTATAGCTGCTCCATCACTAGGAGCCAACATTTGATCCGTTCTTTCCAAAATAGGTCTTAAAAGATTCAAAAGGAAAAAAGGCTAGAGCTCTGTCAACAACGTCTTCTGCAGTCGATTGTAAACAGTGCAGGTAGAGAGACTTATCAGACAGTTGGTTGCAGAGTCTGAACAAGGTGGTCTTTTTTTTTTTTTTTTTTTTGAGACGGAGTCTCGCTCTGTCGCCCAGGCTGGAGTGCAGTGGCGCAATCTCGGCTCACTGCCAGCTCTGCCTCCCAGGTTCACGCCATTCTCCTGCCTCAGTCTCCCGAGTAGCTGGGACTACAGGCGCCCGTCACCAAGCCCGGCTAATTTTTTGTATTTTTAGTAGAGACGGGGTTTCACCGTGTTAACCAGGATGGTCTCCATTTCCCGACCTCGTGATCCGCCCGCCTCGGCCTCCCAGAGTGCTGGGATTACAGGCGCGAGCCACGGCCCGGCCTGACTAAGGTAGTCTTTTTTAGTCTGATGAGAAAGGAGTCCTGAGGGTGGGGGCTGCAGAAAAGAGAAGCAGCTGCTCATTTCAGCTTCTTGGCTCCTGCGACCTGAAGAGGAAAAACCACAGCTGACACACCTGTGTGGGGAAAGAAGCCAAGAGGATGAGCACACTTCCTGGGTGAGTAGTTCGTGCTTACCCTACTCCATGCTCCAGGAAAGGAAGTGGCCCAAAGAAAGAAGTGAGGCACCTTGAGTCCTGGTTTCTGAGGGCCCAGGTGCCCAGGTGCTTTCCAACTTTTTTTTTTTTTTTTTTTTGAGACAGAGTCTCGCTTTGTCACTCAGGCTGGAGTGCAGTGGTGTGATCTCGGGTCACTGCAACCTCTGCCTCCCGAGTTCAAGCAATTTTCCTGCCTCAGCCTCCGGAGTAGCTAGGACTACAGGTGCGTGCCACCATGCCTGGCTAATTTTTTGTATTTTTAGTACAGCCGGGGTTTCACCATGTTGGGCAGGCTGGTATCGAACTCCTGACCTCGTGATCCACTCGCCTCAGCCTCCCAAAGTGCTGGGATTACAGGCGTAAACCACTGCGCCCGGCTTCCAACTTTTACCAGTGTATGGAACGATGGGAGGTAGAGGTTTTGCAAAAGAGCCCAAAGTGTCGGCCGGGCGCGGTGGCTCACGTCTGTAATCCCAGCATTTTGGGAGGCCGAGGCGGGCATCACGAGGTGAGGAGATCGAGACCATCCTGGCTGACACGGTGAAACCCTGTCTCTACTGAAAATACAAAAGTTCACCGGGCATGGTGGCTGGCGCCTGTAGTACCAGCTACTCAGGAGGCTGAGGCAGGAGAATGGCGGGAACCCGGGAGGCGGAGCTTGCAGTGAGCTGAGATCGTGCCACTGCACTGCAGCCTGGGTGACAGAGCGAGACTCTGTCTCAAAAAAAGCCCAGAGTCTCAGTTAGTGATGATGACACCCAGACTGGGTGTCACCACAACCTCTCATTCAAAATCCTGAAATCCAGAAAACTCTGAAAATCAAAACTTCTTTTACATAACTAAATAAGTGACCTGAATTCTTCTGGTGACAAAAGCTGATGTGGATTCACGGGAGGGTGTTACAGGATGCTGCCCCAACCTCATGGTGGGGGAGGGAGGGTGTGCGATAGGGGTATATGCCCCATATTCCCTTTCTAAACTATGAAAAGTTATTAAGTCCAAGAACATCTAGCTCCAAGGATTATGGTAATCGGATTGTGGGCCCGTCTTCTGTCTTTATGTGCTCTTTTTCTTTCTTCTTTGGTTCTTCCCCCCGACCCCCGCCCTCGCTCTGTCATTCAGGGTGGAGTGCAGTGGCGCAGTCTCGGCTCACTGCAACCTCTGCCACCCGGGTTCAAGCGATTCTCCTGCCTCAGCCTCCCAAGTAGCTGTGATTACAGGTGCCCACCACCATGCCTGGCTAATTTTTGTATTTTAGTAGAGATGGGGTTTCACCATGTTGGCCAGGCTGGTCTCAAACTCCTGATTTCAGGTGATTCTCCCTCCTCAGCCTCCTGAAGTGCTGGGATCACAGGCGTGAGCCACTGCGGCGGCCGTTCTTTGGTTCTAAATATGGTTAATCCATCCATTACTCAGCATAGACAGAAAATTCACGATATCTTAATAAGCAGGCATATGTTCACAGAAAATGCACCACTTACCAGACCATGTATGTAAGTTTGCAAGGTCAACCACCAAACCTTGGGAGAGCAAAACCACAGAAGTGGAGCTTCATATACGAAGTCACCACCAGGACAGTGGTTCTCAAACTTGGCTTCACACTGAATCACCTGGGAAGCTTTAACAAAACACTGACACCTGGGACTCTCTCGCCCCTCCCGACTACCACACACAAATGGAAGTAATTGACCTGGCCTTTGAGACGTTTAAACGTTCCCCAGGTGCCTCTGACACACAGCCCAGGTTGAGAGCCACTGGGCCTGGAGGTAAAAAATCCACATTTAAAGTGTGTGCTTTCAAACAGATCCGTTTCACTCACAATGAGCTGCCTGACCTCTGTCAATTACCACACCTAAAATTTTAGTTTGTTCATCTCACACAGCCCACTGGTGGGAGTTGGAAATTCAGCCCCAGGTCTGCCTGCTCGATCCCAATTCTCGAAACTTCTGCCAGTGGAAACATACCAAAAACAAACTGTTGACACATAATACCTGCTACTCATTTCTTTTTCTGTTGATCTTTGTTTTGCGCTACCAGAAAATAATTATTATCAAGGGAAGAATCACCTGATGCACTTCAATTGTAATTTTAATCTCTTGTTGATACTACAAACTCAAGATTTCCATATTAAAACAAAAAGGGGAAACTAAAATAAATGATAGTGACTAATCAAAAGTTTCTAAATGCATAATGATGGTGCACCCAAGAGGATTTCCCTTTTGCTGTTCTACTTTAAACACACAGTGGAAGAATGACTACCTGACTATCACTTCTTTTGGATGAGACTCAAAATCAAAATGCACATCCATCTGCTTAGAAATGACACTGATCAAGAGGTGTTCAAACTCATAGATATGGCCTTTGGATCACAAAATGCTCTCCTGTTTAGGGATCCACTCATTAAATATTTTCTTGTGCTATATGCCAAGCTAATTTGGTCTAAATTTAAAACTTTTTTTTAGTGGAATGTGTATTACAGATTATCCACACCCAAATGAAAAACTACAATTTTAGATTGTGCTCCAAATGTTATATCTGGTCTGCCACGTTTATGTAAGAGCCAAAGTAAAGGGTCTTCTGCTTGGAATTTTTGAAATTTAGACTAGATCTGGAATAATGCCTGTCCCAGACCACTACTGTTGAGACAGGAGAATAAGGTTTGGAGGCAGGGAACCTAAAGCCGATTCATGCTGACTTCCTAGAACTAGATCAAAAGGAAAACCCCAACTTTCCACACCTAAGTAACAAAAGGACCAGAGGCTACTCTCTCCACAACTCCCCCACCCCTTTCTGGGTGGCAGATGAAAAATTGAAAGTACCTCTGATTGGTTGCTCCTCACAACCAATCAGACATTTGCGTAGGAGTGTAGCTTTGTAACTTCACTTCAGCCTCTGATTGGTTACTTTCCGCAACCAGTCAGACTGATTTGCAGGACAAGACTTCATTTGCATAGGAGTGTAACTTTGTAACTTCATTTCAGCCTCTGATTGGTTGCTTTCTGCAACCAATCAGACTGATCATGGGCCATCACTTCATTTGCATGGGGTATATACCAAGTGGCCAATGGAAAACCTCTAGAGGGTATTTGGAGCCCAGAAGATCATGTAACTGGGCCCCTTGAGCCGCTTGCTGTGGCTGTTCCCATCCTGTGGAGTGTACTTTCATTTTCAATAAATCTCTGCTTTTGTTGCTTCATTCTTTCCTTGCTTTGTTGTGTATTTTGTCCAATTCTTTGTTCAAAACGCCAAGAACCTGGACAGCTTGCAGTCAAAAGACCCTCCACCAGTAACACTGTTTAGATGAAAGGTTTCTGTTCTTTGGTTTGGTTTTGTCTGAAATAGAGTCTCGCTCTGTCGCCTAGGCTGGAGTGCAGTGGCGTGATCACAACTCACTGCAGTTTTGATTTCCTGGGCTCAAGTGATCCTCCTGCTTCAGCCTCCCTAGTAGCTAGGACCACAGGTGTGCACCACAACTCACTCCCAGGTAATTTTTTATTTTTTGTAGAGATGGGGTCTCACTCTGTCACCCAGGCTGATCTTAAACTCCTGGGCTCAAGCAATCCTCCCACCTCAGCCTCCCAAAGTGCTGGGATTATAGGCGTGAGCCACCATGCCTGGGCTGGATGAAAGTATTTTAGCCTAGAGTTTTGACACTTTTGTCAGAATGTCCGACTCCTAAATCTTGTATGCTTATGGATTTGGGGGGGAAATACAGATAAAAAATGCATATACGCACAAACACATGCACAGTGAGAGGAGTAGTGATTAAAAATTAAAAAGGAAAAATAGTAGCTACTTCTCATCAAATCAAAAAAGAAGGAAATGCGTAACTGCCTACATCTATGGAAGATGCAAATAGCAAGGAGGAACAAGACTTATTGAGGGTATCATAACCAGGAATCATCACTAAGATGCAGAGTTAGGAAAAATTTATGCTGTGTGGCAAAGATGGTTTGTGGCCACAGACTATTTCCTCCTTCTTCCTCAGTAACCAAAAAAAAAAAAAAAAAAAAAAAAAAATATATATATATATATATATATATATACACACACACACACACATATATATTCATACATATTCATATATATATTCATCATATATATATGATTTTATTTGGGTAACAATGAACCCAACCAAAAGATATTATTTCCTGAACTCCTTTGCAGCCAAGTTGGACATGTGATTAAGTCCTGGTCAGTGATTTAACCTAGCAAACCCATCGCTGGGTAGATACCCAAGGGAATATAAATCATTCTATTATAAAGACACATTCGGCCAGGCACAGTGGTTCACGCCTATAATCCTAGCTCTTTGGGAGGCTGAGGCAGGTGAATCACTTGAGGTCAGGAGTTCAAGACCCAGTCTGGCCGACATGGTGAAACCCCATCTCTACTAAAAATACAAAAGTTAGCCAGGCTCGGTGGTGTGTGCCTGTAATCCCAGCTACTCGGGAGGCTAAGGCACAAGAATCACTTGAACCCGGGAGGCAGAGACTGCAGTGAGCTGAGAGCATGCCACTTCACTCCAGCCTGGGCAACAGAGTGAGACTGTCTCAAAAAAAAAAAAAGTACATGCATGTATATGTTCATTATGGCACTTTTCACAATAGCAAAGACATGGAATCAAGCTAAATGCCCAGCAACGGTAGACTGGATAAAGAAAATATGGTACATATACATCATGGAATACTACACAGCCATAAAAAGAACAAGATCATGTCTTTTGCAGGAACATGAATGGAGCTAGCTGGAGGCCATTATCCTTAGCAAACTAATACAAGAACAGAAAACCAAATACTGCATGTTCTTACTGAGAAGTGAGAGCTAAATAATGAGAACACATGGACACAAAGAAGGGAACAACAAACACGGGGGCCTGTTGGAGGATGGAGGCTGGGAGGAGGGAGAGGATCAGGAAAAAATAACTAGGTACTAGGCTTAATACCTGAGTGACAACAAACCCTTATGGCACAAGTTTACCTATATAATAAACCTGCACATGTACTCCCAAACCTAAAAGTTAAAAATAAATTTTTTTTTAAAAAAACCTTTTTAATAAAAAAGCTCTGGTCAATGGTGTATAAGCAGAGTGTTAAGTGAGATATGAGGGTGGGAGTGGAGGTAGGTAGAGGGAGGGAGGCTCCCTTAAAGAAAGGCTCAGGGCCGGGTGCGGTGGCTCATGCCTGTAATCCTAGCACTTTGGGAGGCCAAGGTAGGTGGATCAACTGAGGTCAGGAGTTCAAGATCAGCCTGGCCAACATGGTGAAGCCCCATCTCTACTAAAAATAAAAAAAATTAGCCCTGCATGGTGGCAGATACCTGTAATCCCAGCTACTTGGGAGGCTGAGGCACAAGAACCGCTTGAACCGGGAAGGCAGAGGTTGTAGTGAGCCAAGATCACGCCACTGCACTCCAGCCTGGGCAACAGAGCGAGACTCTGTCTCAAAAAAAAAAAAAAAAAGAACAAGAACAAGAACAAGTAGTAGCCGGGCACAGTGGCTCCTGCCTGTAATCCCAGCACTTTGGGAGGCCAAGGCGGGCAGATCACAAGGTGAGGGGATTGAGACCATCCTGGCCAACATGGTGAAACCCCGTCTCTACTAAAAATACAAAAATTAACCGGGTGTGGTGACGCGCGCTTCTAATCCCAGCTACTCAGGAGGCTGAGGCAGGAGGATCGCTTGAACCTGGGAGGTGGAGGTTGCAGTGAGCCGAGATCGTGCCATTGCACTCCAGCCTGAGCCACAGAGCCAGACTCCATCTCGAACAAAAAAAAAAAAAAAAGAAGTGGGCTCGGGTTAGAGGCAAGTTCTTTCATGCCTTCTCCCTTCTGAAATAGTAAATTGCAGCATCCAACTAGGCCAACGGGCTAGAAGTGAAACCCACCACTAGGATGGGAAGCAAAAAGTTCAAGCTGAGTCCCTAATAACTGTGGAGCTGCCATATTTACCCTGGACTGGCTACTTCTGGACTTCTTTTACATGGGAGAATAAATTCTTGTACTTTTCTGTTTCATTTTGTTGTTGCTGTTGTTATTGTTACATTCAACTCTATCAAAAACATAACTGATCAAGACTGGTGTGAAAGTCATGAGAATCAGAATGGGGTCACAAATGGTAAGAAAACCCTGAAAACAGAGCTGGGGGAGGCCATGAAAAGAGGGTTCTCAGGCTTGTATGCCTGATAACATAAACAATCACAAAAGACTGCAAAAATCATAATCCTCCACAAAAGCCATCACAACTTCACACAAGAAAATTCTTCTGCAAGGGCATTGACCCGGAGACTATCTGTCCAAACTCAGACTAGCATCACTCTTGTGATTGATCTTTGTGGTCAAGGATAATTATTTCAAAACAATTATGCAATCCTCCTCTTTTTTTTTTTGTCTGAGACAGAGTCTTGCTCCGTCACACAGGCTGGAGTGGAGTAGAGTGGCATGATCTCAGCTCACTGCAACCGCCATCTCACGGGTTCAAGCGATTCTCCTGCCTCAGTCTCCCCCAATAGCTGAGATTACAGGCACGCACCACCATGCCCAGCTAATTTTTTTGTATTTTTAGTAGAGACGGGGTTTCACCATGGTAGCCAGGCTGGTCTGGAACCCCCTGACCTCAGGTGATCCACCTGCCTTGGCCTCCCAAAGTGCTGGGATTACAGGTGTGAACCACCACACCCAGCCCCTCATTTTTATCTTTAAAAACCTTTGTCTTCCTTTACCTCCCTTGAATACGCATAGTTTACTAAGGCTTGTGTATTCCCATTGCAATGCTCTATTCCCAAAACAAACATCTTTTTTTAGAGAGCCTTTCTCTGTTTACTATTTAGGTTGATACTGGCAAAGGGAAAAAAGTATGTATCAGTTGCAGGATCCTTGACCTAGGCCTTTGCTACTCAAAGCGTGGTCCTGGAAGGGTAGTGTGGACATCACCTGGCAGCTCATTAGCAATGCAGAATCTCAGGCCCCACCCCAGACCCACTGAATCAGAACCCCTACTTTAACAAGACTGCCTCTACGCCCAGTTTTTGTTTTTACTTTTCAGCTATTTATTTTTTATTTCAATAACTTTTGGAGTACAAGTGGTTTTTGGTTACACGGATGAATTGTACAGTGGTGAAGTTTGAGATTTTGGCTCACCTGTCACCAGGTAGCATACATTGTACCCAATATGTAGTTTTTTATCCCTTACCTTCCTCCCACTCTCCCTGCTTCTGAATCGCCAATGGCCATTATACCTCTCTTTATGTCTCTGCTTACCCTATAGCTTAGCTCCCACTTATAAGTGAGAACATAGAGGTTTGTACATACAGATTTAGTCTTCCATTCCTGAGTTACTTCACTTAGAATAATAGCCTCCACTTCCATCCAAGTTGCTGCAAAAGAATGATTTTGTTCTTTTTGATGGCTAAGTAGTATTCCATGCTGTATTATGTTTGTTATGCCTGATAACATAAACACATTTTCTTTTTTTTTTTTTTTTTTTGAGACAGAGTCTTGCGCTGTTGCCCAGGCTGAGGTGCAGTGGCGCAATCTCAGCTCACTGCAAGCTCCGCCTCCCGGGTTAACGCCATTCTCTTGCCTCAGCCTCCCGAGTAGCTGGGACTACAGGCGCCCACCACCACGCCCAGCTAATTTTTTGTATCTTTAGTAGAGACAGGGTTTCACCATATTAGCCAGGATGGTCTCGATCTCCTGACCTCGTGATCCGCCCGCCTCGGCCTCCCAAAGTGCTGGGATTACAGGCGTGAGCCACTGCGCCCGGCCAAACACATTTTCTTTATCCACTTACCAGTTGATGGGCACTTAGGTTGGTTCCATATCTTTGCAATTGTGAATTGTGCTGTGATAAACACCATATGTGCAGTTTGAGAAGCACTGATGTAAATTCTCTTTAAAACAAACAAACAAACAAAAAAACAGACTAGATCGGACACAGTGGCTCATGCCTGTAATCCCAGCACTTTGGGAGGATGAGGCAGGTGGATCGCTTGAGGTCAGGAGTTTGAGACCACCCTGGCCAACATAGTGAAACCCGATCTCTACTAAAAATACAAAAATTAGCCAGGTGTGGTGGTGCACGCCTGTAATCCCAGCTACTGGGGAGGCTAAGGCAGGAGAGTCAGTTGTACCTGGGAGTCAAAGGTTGCAGTGAACTGAGATAGCGCCATTGCATACCAGCCTGGGTGACAGAGTGAGACTCTGTCCAAAAAGAAAGAAAAAAAAAAAAAACAGACTAAACACCATGGATACAAATGACTGGCTGAGCACTGTTTCTATTACCTCAATTTGTATCCTGAAGAAAAGACATAGAAATGCGACCCGATTTTGAGGTCAGACACCAAACATAATATTTTCAAACAACACATTTCTTGATAGGTTCAAAATGCAAAAATAAAAACAGATATAAAGGTTATAAGAAGTTTAGAAAAGAAAACTCTGGAGAGGCCGGGCATCGTGGCTCACACCTGTAATCCCAGCACTTTGGGAGGCTGAGGTGGGTGGATCGCTTGAGGCCAGGAGTTCAAGACCAGCCTGGCCAACATGGCAAAACCCCGTCTCTACTAAAAATACAAAAAAATTAGCTGGGCATAGTGGTGGGCGCCTGTAATCCCAGCTACTCGGAAGGGTGAGGCAGAAGAATCACTTGAACACAAGAGGCTGAGTTTGCAGTAAGCTAAGATTGTGCCACTGCATTCCAGCCTGGGCAACAGAGCGAGACTGTCTCAAAGAAACAAAAACAACCAAAAACAAACTTTGGTTTTTTTGAAGATATAATTCAAAATAAAGTAGATGCTTTACAAATGATAATCGAGCTGCCAAAATTCAGAAACAATAATTACTTTGACCATTCATTACACCACAGCTTTGTATTCTCACCTTTCAGTTACATCATATATATATTTCCTTAGGAACCACTAACTCTCTGACATATCAGCTTCCCAGCTGAAAATGCATTTACCTCTGCAGCATTTAGAATTAAAAATTATGTTTTCGATGTATATTTTCAGTCTGAAAATGTCTCCTCCACTCCCTGAAAACAACCCCAGCCAGTAAATGCAATTCTTTGAATAAATAAGGTGGGCTTTTTTGTTTGTTTTTTCATATATTCTGGCAGGGTCTTGCTCTGTTGCCCAGGCTGGAGTGCAGTGGCAGGATCACAGCTCACTACAGACTCCACCTCCTGGGCTCAAGCAGTCCTCCCACCTCAGCCTCCCGAGTAGCTGGGACTACAGGTACACACTATCATGCGCAGCTAATTTTAAAATTTTTGGTGGAGACGGAACCTCACTCTGTTGCTCAGGCTGATCTCTAACTCCTAGACTCAGGCAATCCTCCCGCCTCAGCCTCTTGAAGTGCTGGGATTACAGGTGTGAGCCACTGTGCCTAGCAAACAAGGTGTGTTGAATTAATTAATTTTAGTTAATTTCCAAATAATTTTTCTACAGCAGTTTTTAAAGATATTATGTACATACAATAAAATGCCCAGATCTTAATTATCCTACCAGATGACAATGTTATTAACCCATGTAATCCCCATGTCAATCAAGATATAGGACATTCCCATCACTCCAGAAAGTTCCAAGGAAATGTTTTTTCAGTATTCCCCAGCTGTACCTGCCACACAGAGGCGGACACTTCTACTGTGGGTTTCTTATTCTTATGTGGCCAGAAAATGGAACCAAAGATGATTTTACAACCGAAAGCTGATAAAATAGCATTAACAATGGTAAAGTTCCAAGTTGCCTATGAGTGTTTTTAATATGCTTTAATCTTCCATCAAAAACTTGTCTGATATGTGACTGTAAGGAATGAAAAAGACCTTGAGCTTGGTTCAATTAACAATGTAAATGTTGATATAATTGCCAAACATTGGCTATACTTATACGGTTTCTTGATCTCTCTATTTTCTTTAAGTAGGTTTAAGTGGGTTTTCTTCCAATGGGAAAAACGAGTACTCCTGCCTGACCATTTCTGATACCAAAGAGAGCTACAATATAGAGTGAAAACAGAAAATTCACTTGAAAAAAACTTTTGATTCTGTATTTGGGATTGAAGTTGTGCATTAGATAAGCTGACTGTTGTGTCTTTTGTTTTAGTCCAATATATTTTAAAATTGCATCCAGAGAGGAGTCTCTGAATGCCTTCTTCTTTCTTGGAATCAATTTACTCCATCAATTTGTCAGTAGGTCACTTTTAGGAGACAGGCAATGAAAACTGGCATAGTCATTCCAAGAAACTTATGAGAAAGGAACTTTTAGCTTTTGGTACACTGCAAATGTAAGTTATCAGTAGTATTAGTTTCACTCATAAACCCACGTAACAAAATTCTGAGGAATAATACCAACACAAAAAGCATGAGACCAAATATGATGCATTCCCAGTTATCCTTAATCAACATGTCCATATCCTAGAGAGTCACTTTTCTCTCTAATTACAAGTCACAAATGTGCTGGCATTGGAGATCAGAGCTCTGTTTTGGGGTGTGTCGCTGCATACTTGGGGGCCAGCTCTTGAATGAGATTCACATAGTCAGTTTTTTCTGCACAGGCCCTGCACTCCTCCCCCCAGCTATGCAGGATCTGCTTCAGCTCTGCCACTCTCATCTTCCGCAGGTCAACTGATGCCAAGTCCAGTGTTTTTTCTAAATGGCAAAAAGGAAAAAAGCCAATTACAAAATAAATGGAAAAAAAATCCCTATGAATCACTTCAAAAGGCATATAGTTTGCTTATCTTGGTGCTGACTACCCTATGATCCAAGGCAGGGAAGAATTCCAGTTTCCATGGAAACCAAGACACACCCAAGGAAAATGTGGTACAGCAGCCCTCTCTATCAGTGGGTTCTGCATCTGCAGATTCAACCAACAGCAGATCAAAAATATTCTAAACAAATTAAAGATAACACTACAACAATTAAAAAATACAAACAGGGCTGGGCACGGTGGCTCATGCCTGTAATCTCAGCACTTTGGGAGGCTGAGGCGGGAGGATTGCCTGAGGTCAGGAATTCGAGACCAGCCTGGCCAACATGGTGAAACCACACCTCTACTAAAAAAAGAAACAAAAAATTAGCCGGGCATGGCGGTGGCATGCCTGTAATCCCAGCTACTTGGGAGGCTGCGGCGGGAGAATTTCTGGAACTTGGGAGATGGAGGTTGCAGTGAGCCGAGATCACGCCATGCACTCCAGCCTGGGAAACAGATTGAGACTCTGTCTCAAAAAAAAAATACAAACAATACAGTATAACAACTATTTACAATGATATGGTTTGGATTTGTGTCTCCACTCAAATCTCACGAGGAATTGTAATCCCCGCTGTTGGAGGAGGGGCCTGTTGGAAGGTGATTGGATCATGGGGGTGGACTTCACCCTAGCTTTTCTCATGATAGTGAGTGAGTTCATGAGGGATCTGGTTGTTTCAAAGTGTAGCACCTCCCCCTTTGCGCTCTTCCTCTTGCTGCAGTCACGTAAGACATGCCTCTTCCTCTTTGCCTTCTGCCATGATTCTAAGTTTCCTGAGGCCTCCCCAGCCATGCTTCCTGTACAGCCTGTGGAGCTGTGAGCCAATTAAACCTCTTTTCTTTATAAATTACCCAGTCTTAGATAGTTCTTTTTCTTTTTTTTTTTTGAGACGGAGTCTCGCTTAGCCACCCAGGCTGGAGTGCAGTGGCATGATCTCTGCTCACTGCAACCACCATCTCCCTGGTTCAAGCGATTCTCCTGTCTCAGCCTCCCAAGTAGCTGGGATTACAGGCACCCACCATCATGCCCGGCTAATTTTTGTATTTTAGTAGAGACAGGGTTTCGCCATGTTGGCAAAGCTGATCTTGAACTTCTCACCTCAGCTGATCCGCCTGCCACGGCCTCCCAAAGTGCTGGAATTACAGGCGTGAGCCACCGCGCCTGGCCAATAGTTCTTTACAGCAATGCGGGAACAGACTAATACAAATAGCATTTTCATTGTATTAAGTATTATAAGTAATCTAGAGATGATTTAGAGTATACAGGAGGGAAGATGCACATGGGTTATATGCAAACACTTAAGCATCAGGATTTTAGTGTCTGAGTATGGTCCCAGAACCCCTCCTGCACAGGTACTGAAGGACAACAGTGTATACAAAGTTATTGGGATAATTTGTGTTTTTAATTTGACTTTCTTTCCAAGAGATTATACTTGCTTCAAAACTAAGGGCCTATGTAGTGCCACAATGTTTACTACCATTTGGAGCATTCTCAAGATCAGTATTCCTAAAACAAATAGCACTGTATCCAAATTGCTGCTGTTAAGGTAACAAGAAGGAAACTCATATATAAAAGGCAATCGGTTCCTTTGGGATGGCCTTGGTTTGCGGCCAACTTGAAACCCATAGATTGTAATTAACCAGCAAAAAGTTATGGTTCACTTTTTCTAGGAAGATGTATCTTCGGCAAAGCAAATGAGCACATACACATGACAAAGCACTATTGGGTTTTAAATAAAAATGTAAAGAAATGCAAACACGTGAATAAAATTAGGAATATTCTCGCTGAACCTTAATTGTTTGGGATCTCTGTTTTGAAACTCACCTGATGCCCAGCCCCTACTGGGATTAGGTTGCTAAATTATCACAGCAGGTACAGCCCTTTGTGTTATTCCCACTTCTCCAATGCTAGGGCTTTGGTGCCAGCCAACCTGGCTTCTAAAATTCTTGCCAATGATACTTGTCACCAACATCTAACCTCCTCTAGCAAGACTACTATTTCGCTGTTTATAGATTATGTGCAGAAAATATCAAGAACTCAGCTACTTCTCAATTGCTGAAAAGATTGAAAAAAAGCCCAAAATACAAAAAATAATAAGCTCATCTGTAATATACCAATAATTATAATTTTCCTATCAGAAAGAGGTACTTTTCCTCTTTCAAAAGAAAGTCTAGAGGGGCATGGGGGCACACACCTGTAATCCCAGCATCTCAGGAGGCTGAGGCAGGAGAATCTCTTGAACCCAGGAGGCTGAGGTTGCAGTAAGCAGAGATCATGCCACTGCACTCCAGCATGGGCAACAGAGTGAGACTGTCAAAAAAAAAAAAAGTGTCTTTTGCCCCTCCCCGCTTGTCCGGTGTTCACTTTGATAATGAATACAACATTTAAGTTTATTTATTAAACAACTAGTGGCAGCCTAGAATTTTTACAGCTTGACTTCTCTTGAAAGTTCTTTCTCTTTTTTACCTCTGAGTAGTAGAACACAACATTTAAAAACATTAAAAACCTAATATTTGTCAAATTATTTGTCAAAACCTTCCGGTAACTCTGTTCTAATTTAAAAGCTGGATGTTAAAAGACTTTTGTATTTAGAGGGTCAGCTATACACTGTGCTCCAGAAAACCCTTAAATTTTTATAGTGATTCCCTATCCTTTTTAAACACAAAGCAAGCAAATGAAAACATTCTTTCAGGTCAAAAACCAAATGGCACCTTCCTAATTGAAAACATACTCCAACTCCACACTTATCTTGCTTGTTAATTTCATGGCTGATCTGACAGAATACTTTTTAAAGTAGAAACTTGCATAGCCCAAATTATTAATCTCCCACAGCACAAAGGTCCCTGTTTAATCTTATCTTTCCTGCTAACAATAGCTGGGGAGGATAATTAAGAACTATTAGTCTATTCAAGATAAGAGGCTGAAGGAGAAAAATACATTTTTTTGTAAATGTCAGTAGTTTCTTTGAGTTTTTCTAGAGAACTTGGTATCTGGCATTAATTTTAAAAAGAGGAAAACCTCTGTGATGCCCCAAAACTCCAAAGTAAAGGTCCACACAAAGATTAAAACTAGTTCATAGCTCCCCAAGGGCCTCTAGTGGCCAGCATCGCCAAAACATTAGGTAGTCATTTCGTCTCAATAATATCTGATTTTTCTATTGTTTAAGGAGCCCTGTAAGATCCCTAGGATATAGGAGAAGGTATTCACAACAAATTTGTTGAATTTAAAAAATCAAAAGAGGTTTGTGATATTGGCTTTTATTTATTTTTATTTTATCTATTTATTTTTCAGATGGGGTTTCACTCTGCCACTCAGGCTGGAGTACAGTGAAAAAAATCACAGCTCACCAGAGCCTTGACCTCCCAGGCTCAGGTGATCCTCCCACCTCAGTCTCCTGAGTAGTTAGGACTATAGGCGCTCAACACCACACCTGGCTAATTTTTGTATTTTTGTAGAGACAGGGTTTCACCATGTTGCCCAGGTTGGTCTTGAACTCCTGGGCTCAAATGATCCTCCTTTCTTGGCCTCCCAAAGTGCTGAGGTTACAAGTGTGAGCTGCCGCGCCCGGCCAAGTTTGTGAATATTGTTTATATGGACTCAGTGATTTCTGCCCCTATTTCATGGCTTGGAAGCCAATAAAAAAGGGATGCCTACTCTAATAACTACCCTGGAAGTTAGGGCTTGTGCTTTGCAAGTTAAGAAATAGGTTGTCTGTGGTAACTTTCAACCTTAAACCTACTTAAAGCTAGCTATGTGGCTATGGTGCATAGGACTATTACACGGCTGTGTTGGAAAATAAGACTAAAATAACTTAGAGGTGGATGCTAATTACTTAGGTAGTTGACAGTACTACACTGGGTATGTAATGCATGCAAAACAATGACTTAAGCAAAAGGAATGAGTGGGATTTCAGGTGTCAAGGATAGGCTGAGGAAGGAATTCCACATCCTTTTATGATACCCACTCAATCTACCCAAATGTCTAGCCCAGATACAAATCATGATAAAAGATCTATCCATGTGAAATGTATGGGGCCAAGGATAACATTTTAAAATAGGACATCTCCTGGCCGGGCATGGTGGCTTACGCCTGTCATCCTAGCACTTTGAGAGGACAAGGCAGGTGGATCACCTGAGGTCAGGAGTTCAAGACCAGCCTGGCCAACATGGTGAAACCTCGTCTCTAATAAAAATACAAAAATTAGCCAGGCGTGGTGGTGCATGCCTGTAATCCCAGCTACTCGGGAGGCTCCGGCAGGAGAATCGCTTGAACCCACGAGGCAGAGATTGCAGTGAGCCAAGATCGCACCACTGCACTCCAGCCTGGGTGATAGAGCGAGACTTCCCCTCAAAAAAAAAAAAAAAAAAAAAAGGACATCTCCTTCCTTTTCTTGCTGTTTGTTTTGGGCACCCTCTGATAAGCTATTTTACCAGGAAAAACCTGACTTGATGTGAATAACCAATTTCCCAAAATTTAAAGCTGGCAGAATGGTAGCTCTGCCTAGGAAGGAAGTCATAGTCATCTTTACATCTTCAAAGTCCTTGTATCATCTTTGAATAGGTACTAGTTTTGTTTTAATAGATTACCAAGATCCAAATCACCAGGAGTAGCTGCTCTCTCTATATGTTGAGATTTTCCTTGACATACGTATCTGGCTTTGCCTTGGTGTGTTAGGAGTCTAAACTCTGTGATTTCAGTGGCAATTTTTTTTTTTTAAGACAGAGTCTTGCTCTATCACCCAGGCTGGAGTGCAGTGGCGGGATCTGGGCTCATTGCAACCTCTGCCTCCCGGGTTCAAGCGATTCTCCTGCCTCAGCCTCCCGAGTAGGTGGGACTATAGCTGCCCGCCACCACACCCGGCTAATTTTTTTGTATTTTTTTAGTAGAGACAGGGTTTACCATATTGGCCAGGCTGGTACTTGAACTCCTGACCTTGCGATCCGCCCGTCTCGGCCTCCCAAAGTGCTGGGATGAAAGGCCTGAGCCACCGCGCCAGGCCTCATTGGCAATTTTAACCTAATGCTGATTATGCCTGTACTATTTATTTGTCTTCCCTCAACGAAACTCAAATGCCCATAGGTACCATTCATCAGCCAAGCAACTTATTGATGAGTGGTGAATTTCTTTCCTTTTAACACTGAATTTTTAGAAGACATGGCCCCAACTTTAGAGGTTTGGGAATCCATTGGACCTACTGGGAAAAACACGGGGCTGTGTTATACCATATTTCAGCTCACAGATCTGGCTATCCAACTTCTTCAGCTTCTCACAAATCTTCATTGCAGGCATATGCACACTCATTGGGCGAGTGACTTCACTTAGGATCTTTGTGGCTGCGTCTTTTGTGGCTCCTAGATAATAGCACTGAAGGAAAATGAAGAGAATTGAGTGTTCCAGACAATGAAGACATTCAGTATCATTCCAGTAATGAAGGAATACAGTATCAAGAAGAAAGAGGTAGGCTGGACATGGTGGCTCACGCCTGTAATCCCAGCACTTTGGGAGGTTGAGGAGGGCAGATCATTTGAGGTCAGGAGTTCTAGACCAGCCTGGTCAACATGGTGAAACCCCATCTCTACTAAAACTACAAAAATTAGCCAGGTGTGCTTGCTTGAACCAAGGAGGTGGAGGTTGCAGTGAGCCAAGATCATGCCAGGGCACTCCAGCCTGGGTGACAGAGTGAGACTCCATCTCAAAAAAAAAGAAGAAGAAGAAAAGAAGAAGAAGGAGAAGAAGAAGCAGCAGAAGAAGCAGAAGCAGAAGAAGAAGAAGGAGAAGAAGAAGAAGAAGAAGAAGAAGAAGAAGAAGAAGAAGAAGAAGAAGAAGAAGAAGAAGAAGAAGCAGCAGCAGCAGCAGCAGCAGCAGCAGAAGCAGGAGAAGGAGAAGGAGAAGGAGAAGAAGAAGAAGAAGCAGAAGCAGCAGCAGAAGCAGAAGCAGCAGAAGAAGAAGAAGAAGAAGAAGAAGCAGAAGCAGAAGCAGCAGCAGAAGAAGCATAAGAAGCAGTAGAAGAAGCAGCAGAAGAAGCAGTAGAAGCAGCAGAAGCAGCAGCAGAAGAAGCAGCAGAAGTGGAGGAATCAGAAGCAGCAGAAGCAGAAGCAGCAGAAGCAGAAGAAGAGCAGCAGCAGAAGAAGAAGCAGAAGAAGCAGCAGCAGCAGCAGAAGCAGCAGAAGCAGCAGAAGAAAGAAGCAGAAGAAGCAGAAGAAGAAAGAAGCAGAAGAAGAAGAAAAAGAAGAAGAAGAAGAAGAAAAAGAAGCAGCAGAAGCAGCAGAAGCAGAAGAAGAAGAAAGAAGAAGAGAGGTTAACCTGCTGACTAAGCCACCAGGAAACAAGTGACTCCATTCTCGTGATCATCCTAATTAGATGTGCCCTACAATTCACATGGTGTTAAAAGACTAATGAGAAGAGCTGACACTAAGTGTTTTCTCTGTGCCAGGTGCTGCTCTCAGTGCTTTAAAGGTATTAACTTATTTATGTCTCACAACAATCCTGTGAAATAAGTACTATTAGTATCTGTATTTTATACCCAAGCCAACTGAAGGTCCCCAGATCTAGCAATAGAAGAGACAGAATTATAAAACCCAGCACTTTGGCTCTAGAGCCCATGTCTTTTCCCATCAGGCAATTCTGACATTCAAGCTCCCTGACTTCAAAATTTTACATTTAAAAATATAAACGTTGGCTGGGCACAGTGGCTCACACCTGTAATCCCAGCACTTTGGGAGGCCAAGGCGGGTGAATCACTTGAGCTCAGGAGTTCGAGATCAGCCTGGGCTACAAGGCCAAACCCCGTCTCTACAAAAAAAAAAAAAAAAAAAAAAAAATCCAAAAATTATCTGGGCATGGTGGCATGTGCCTTAGTCCCAGATACTTGGGAAGCTGAGGTGGAAGGATCACTTGAACCTGGGAGGTTGAGGTTCCAGTGAGGAAAGATCACTGGGACGCCAGCCTGGGTGACAGAGGGAGACCCTGTCTCAAAAAAATATAGATAGATAGACCTTAATGATACGGATAAATGGCATGAGCTTTACAACATGGCCATGGTGAACAGCCAACATGCAGATGTAACTGACAATCTGACAATTTTAGGGAAAAAGGAATTGGCCCCAAATTGTCTTAAGTGATATAAAACAGTATATTGAAACAAGCCATATGTGTATGCCCAGGAAACACCATATTAATGTGATTAGAAGAAAATATAAATACTTTATTAATTATGTATAAATAATAATGTAAAATATTTTGATAAGTTTGATTAATTGTCTTGGTAAGAAATGGAAAGCCCACCCACTCTTAGGATGCTAAATTCTTATTGGGAATTCAGTTTCATAATTTCATTTAAGAAAACGTAGAATTGGGCTGGGCATGGTAGCTCATTCTTGTAATCCCAGCACTTTGGGAGGCTGAGGTGGGTGGATCACCTGAGGTCAGGAGTTCAAGACCACCCTGGCCAACATGGTGAATCCCTGTCTCTACTAAAAATACATAATTAGCAGGGTGTGGTGGTGCACACCCGTAATCCTAGCTACTCGGGAGGCTAAGGCACAAGAATGCTTTGAACCCAGGAGGCAGAGGTTGCAGTGAGCTGAGATGATGATACTGCACTCTAGCCTGGGCAACAGAGCAAGACTCTGTCTCAGAAAAAGAAAAAAGAAAACATAGAATTGGTTATCTGTGGTGTACTCAGAAAGTAAAGTAACACTGGAAATATTCTGGATGAAAACACGCAGAACTACATGTCACTGGAAGATGGATTTCTGCTTGCTGCGTGCTCTAAAATGGACATACTTGAGGCAAACATGTAAGTAGGAGGACTTCACGTCTAAGAAATGAAACTATTAGCAGTATTCTTCAAGCACATGGGGAAAATGAAAGGTGAAATTTACTATACCAGGCGGTTTTCTTTTCCTTTGGTGTCCAAGCAAAAACTGATCAATTCTTTCTCTATAGTGTCCAGCGAAAAGTTAACTCCTCTGTCTATCAGTGACTTGTAGAATCGGTTCAAGAATTCTTTACATACTGGAAGGAACAAATAAATATGTCTGCATGCACAACTTAACCACTACCACACCTATGCATATGACCCACTAACCACATTTAAAAGTCTATATGGGGCTGGGCATGGTGGCTTACCCCTGTAATCCTAGCACTTTGAGAGGCTGAGGTGGGCAGATCACAAGGTCAGGATATCGAGACCATCCCGGCCAACATGGTGAAATCCTCTCTCTACTAAAATACAAAAAATTAGCCAGGCATGGTGGCGCGTGCCTATAGTCCCAGCTACTCAGGAGGCTGAGGCAGGAGAATCACTTGAACCCAGCAGGTGGAGATTGCAGTGAGCCGAGATCTTACCACTGCACTCCAGCCTGGCGACAGAGCAAGACTCCATCTCACACACAAAAAAAGAAACGTCCATATGAGTCAATGCTTCATGACAGTGGATTCCAATGCTAAGTAAGAATGATTTGGGGGCCAGGCATGGTGGCTCACACCTGTAATCCCAGCACTTTGGGAGGCAGAAGCAGAAAGATCACTTGAGCCCAGGAGTTTGGAGCCAGTCTGGACCACATAGTGAGACCTTGTCTCTACTAAAAAAAAAACACAAAAAAACAAAAACAAAAAAACACCAGGCATGATGGTGAATGCCTGTCGTGTCAGCTACTCGAGAGGCTGAGGTGGGAGGGTCACTTAAGCCCGGCAGATGGAGGCTGCAGTGAGCTATGATCAAGCCACTGCACTGCAGCCTGGGTGACAGAGTGAGACCCTGTCTCAAGAAAATTAAAAATATAAATAAAAAGAATGATTTCAGGCCTGTTGCTATTAGTTTAGTATTGGGCCTAAATGCAGTGGACACATTGTAACAGCATATTGAATCAATCAATCATTGGAACGAAGTTCTACCTAAAATGATAACTTTTCCACAAAATTTGGCTAACCCTAAAATAAAATAGGCTATCATCTTGGGACAGCATAATTGTAAGCACAGAGAAAAACCTGAATAAGAATCCTGAATGAAGCCCCTTGGTGATCTGCATAAGTCTTTATTTCCATCGTTATGAGCCTAAAGTGAAATCAGGCTGGGCATAGTGGATCACACCTGTAATCCCAACACTTTGCAAGGCCAAGGCGAGAGGATCTCTTGAGGCCAGGAGTTTGAGACCTGCCTGGGCAACACAGTAAGACTCTGTCTCTGCACACACCTGTGGTCCCAGCTACTGAGGAGGCTAAAATGGGAGGCTTGTTAGGTCATTTCTTCTAGTTCCTTATATCTTGAAGATACTTTCAAGCTTGTTTTTTATATCTTTAAACACACTAAACTTAATTATGATCTGTGTGTGAAAATTTCAATATCTGAAGTCTTCAGAGTTTTTTTTGTTTGTTTGTTTGTTTTTTAAGACGAAGTCTCGCTCTGTTCACCCAGGCTTAAGTGCAATGGCGCAATCTCAACTCTCTGCAACCTCTGCCTCCCTGGCTCAAGTGATTCTCCTGCCTCAGCCCCCCAAGTAGCTGCGATTACAGGCGCTCGCCACCACACCCTGCTAATTTTTATATTTTCAGTAGATACGAGGTTTCACCATGTTGGCCAGGCTGGTCTCAAACTCCTGACCTCAAGTGATCTGCCCATCTCGGCCTCCCAAAGCGCTGGGATTACAGCCACTGCATCAGGCCCAGAGTACGTTTCTATTTGTTGTTGTTTCTATAGGTTCTTGTTCCTGGTGCCTCGTTTCTTTGTGTGCTTGCTTATTTTGCGCCACACGATACTCATACGTCTCAAAACTTATTTGTGAAGATTGTTTGAAGCCTGAGATGAAGGAGCATTATTTCCAGTAAGGATTTGTATTTGTATTTCTCAGGGACTAAGGGCAACTAGCCAGGCACTGCTTTAAACTAAATATATAGCTTGAAGTTTTTGGGCCCCGATGTGAATTTTGGCTGCAAATACAAGTGAGGGACGTTTTGTTGTTATCATTTCTCAGAGATATATATTTTTTCTTTTTTCTACTTTGCTCAGTGTCAAGGTAAATTTCCTTATAGTCCCCTATGGGTAGGGATGGGTTCGGTTTATGTTCTATGTTTCTTTAAACATAAAAAAACATAACTTCTATGCCTGATTATTCCAATACCTGAAGCCACTGCAGGGGTGTGCCTCTTCTGTTTTTTGTTCCAGCTGGCTCTCACTTATGTGCCCTTCTTCCCTAGGGGTTCATGACTTTTCTAAGTGGCAGCTCTATTTCTTAGAACTTTAACTGTATGAATTCTTTGAGGACTAGGTTGAATGTGGGTTCCTGTAAGTAAGACTCACATTTGCTGGCTGGGCACGGTGGCTTATGCCTGTAATCCCAGCACTTTGGGAGGCCAAGGTGAGTGGATCACCTGAGGTCAGGAGTTCGAGACCAGCCTGGCCAATATGATGAAACCCCGTCTCTACTAAAAATACAAAAATTAGCCAGGAGTGGTGGCAGGTGCCTGTAATCCCAGCTACTTGGGAGGCTGAGGCAGGAGAAATGCTTGAACCCGGGAGGCGGAGGTTGCAGTGAGCCGAGATCACACCATTATACTCCAGTCTGGGCGACAAGAGTGAAACTCCGTCTCAAAAAACAAAACAAGACAAAAACAAAAACAAGACTCACATTTGCTGATTCCTGAGGGTATGATCTACTTAAAATCACTTTCAACTAAATTATCAGTTCGAGATGTTTCAGATCATCCTAGTAGTGTGAATGGGGCCTTTGACCCCTACCTATGTGCACGAGCTTGTAATTATGAGTTATCAAGAAAGTTTTGTTTTTCCTTTTATCAGTAAAAATGTTCAAGTGAAACCATTTCTTTTAGTCTCTAAAGATGGAAATAGGTTGTAGTTACTTTCAGTTCACCCTTTATAATGAAGGGCTAGGTCTTTGGGGCCCTGAATTAGTTGGTAGAGGATCTGCTCTCACTCTCCTAACTTGGAAATGCCTGGGACTTGTGTTTATTTAGCCAAAACCATGAAAACTTCAGTTCAGATCACCTGGCTAACAAATGCTCCCAGGTAAAGCCAGCTTCAGTGCTCCCTTCAACCCCCTGGACTCCCACTTCCACTCTGTGGTTGGCTTCTGGGTATGCCTTCCCAACTCATACTTTACAATATTTTCACATTTTTATTTTATCCAGTATTTTCAGTTGCTTTTAGATGACTGGCCAATCATGTCATCTTTTAGAGCTTAAAGTCATATATATATATATATATACACACACATATATATACTGTATATACATATATATAAAATACATATATACACATATATAATACATATATACACACACACACACACACATATATATATATATATTTTTTTTCAAGATGGAGTCTCGCTCTGTTGCCTAGGCTAGAGTGCAGTGGTGTGATCTCGGCTCAATGCAACCTCCACCTTCTGAGGTTCAAGCAATTCTCCTGCCTCAGACTCCTGAGTAGCTGGGACTAATGGCGTGTGCCACCACACCCAGCTAAGTTTTTGTATTTTTAGTAGAGACAGGGTTTCACCATGTTGGCCAGGACGGTCTCGATCTCCTCACCTGGTGATCTGCCCACCTCGGCTTCCCAAAGTGCTGGGATTACAGGTGTGAGCCACCGTGCCTAGCCCATATATTTTTATTTCTAATGCTATCAACATGAACAGAATACTAAACATAATAGCCAGTTATTCATGTTTTTAACAAATATTTACTAAGCGACTAGTAAGTGCAAAACAGTATTCTAGGTTCCTAAGATTCAGTAATGAAGAAAACAAAGAACTTGCCCTTGAGAGTTACATCCGATAGAAGTAAAGGTATACGTAGCAAAGAAGAAAAATAAACATGGTAAGGAGGATGGAGGGTGACAAGGTAATAGTACGATTCTTAATGGATTGGTTAGGAAAGATCTCTTAGATAAAGTGATATTCAAGCAGACACCTGAAGGAAGTGGAAGAACAATTTAAGTGGATGACTTGAGGAAGAACTCCGCAGGCAGAAGGAACAGCAAGTACCAAGGCTCAAATGCAGGAGTGTCCTTGGTGGCTTCAAGGAACAGCCAGAAGGCCAGTGTGGCTAAAGTAGAGGGAGCAAGAGGGAGGTGTGTAGCAAATGAGATCAAATAGGCAGCAGCATGCTGGGGCATCCAGGGCCTTTCAAGCTTGGTAAGGTCTCTGGATGTCACTCTGAGAAGGGAAGCCATTTAAGGTTTTGAGTAGAGAAGAGTTATGGTCCGACATGATTCATAAAGGATGTCTCTGAAGGCTGTCTGAAGAATGGATTACAAGGAAGCAGAAAAGAAAGCAGGGAGACCAGCTGACCAGTTTAGAGGTTCTCAAAATAGTTGCATCTCTTAGACCAGGGCAGTAGCTACAGCAGTCATGAGAAGTGGTTACACTCTGGACCTATCTTGAAGGAAGAGCCAAAAGAATTTACTAATAAGCCAGATGTAATGTGTCAGAGTTGGGGAGAGAGAGAGGAATCAAAGATAATCCCAATAATTTTGGCCAAGAAACTGGAACCGTGGAGTTGCCATCTGCTGAAATGAGGAAGACTGCAGGAGAAGCAGTTTATGGTGACAAGCAGGAATCTAATCTTTCTTTTTTTGCTTTTTTTTTTTTTTTTTTTTTTTTTGAGACAGAATCTCGCTGTGTTGCCCAGGCTGGAGTGCAGCGGTGCCATTTCGGCTCACTGCAACCTCCAACTCCTGGATTGAAGTGATTCTTGTGCCTCAGCCTCCTGAGTAGCTGGGATTACAGGCGCATGTCACCACACCTAGCTAATTTTTGTATTTTTAGTAGAGATGGGGTTTCGTTATGTTTGCCAGGCTGGTCTCTAACTCCTGACCTTAGGTGATCTGCCTGCCTCAGCCTCCCAAAGTGCTGGATTACAGGCATGAGCCACCATGCCTGGCCAGAATCCAGTCTTGACATATGAAGTTCAAGATGCTTCTAGACGTCTGTGATGGTTAATTTTATGTAGCAATGATGAAATTAACACTTAAATTGATGAACTCTGGGTAAGGCAGATTGGCCTCCATAATGTGGGTGGGCCTTACCTAACTACTTGAGGGCCTGCACAGAACAAAATAGACCAGCCTTCCTGACGAAGAGGGAATTCTCCAGCAGACTCCCTTTAGACTTCCTTCGTACCACAGGCTCTCCTGGGTCTCCAGCCTGCTTGCCCACACTGCAGATTTTGGACTTCTCAGCCTTCACAATCTTGTGAGCCAATTCCTTATAATAAATCTCTTTTTACATAGATAAATATTACAGATATTAAGAAGATATATAGATATAGATTATATGTTCTGTTTGGTCCTATTGGTTTTATTTCTCTGGAGAACCTTGACTAATATAACATCCAACTGGAAACAGTGAGAAGGCAGCTAGATATAGAAATGTGAAGATCAGGTATAAGATCTAGGATGACTATATAAATCTGGAAGCCATCAACATTCAAATGGTGTTTTTGAGATGAGAACACAAAGTAAGGAGAGACGGAAAAGAGACACAGTCCTGGGTCTCAGCCTTGTGAAATCCCAATGTTTAGCAATTGGGAAGATGGAAAACAACCAGAAAAAGACGGAAAGGAGCAGCCAGTGAAGTAGGATAAGAACAAAGACTGAGTGTTATTCCAAAAGGCAAGTGAACACAGTGTTAAAAGGAATGTGTAATGATCTGCTATATTACACGTGGAAAATGAGATCCCTCTCAACATGTATTTTGCTGAGTTTAATTAGCAAATATATCCAGTATGCAAAGCAGAAACCTGCTGTAATGATTAATGCTACAAGTCAGCAGAAACTATCATCAGGCCAGGCACGGGAGTTCACACTTGTAATCCCAGCACTTTAGGAGGCCAAGGCTGGCGGATCGCTTGAGCTCAGGGGTTCAAGACCAGCCTCGGCAACATAGTGAAACTTCATCTCTATTAAAAATACAAAAAATTTGCTGGGTGTAATGACAAGCACCTGTAGTCCAGCTACTCAGGAGGCTGAGGAGGGAGGATCACTTGAGCCTGGAAGACGGAAGTTGCAGTGAGCTGAGACTGTTCCACTGTACTCCAACCTGGGTGACAGAGTGAGGCTCTGTCTCAAAAAAAAAAAGAAAAAAGAAAAAGAAACTATCATCAAAGTCTCCTAGGAGCCTCTAATTCTTGTCTCCTACAAAAGAAACCCCCAGTATTCCAGTGCCTCATCACTCTTGTGGTATTTCCCACAGTATACCTTCATATGATTTCTATACCTCAACTATCACTCTGCCAATGTATCATCTAGGTGATGAAAGTTAGGAATACTAACTTGTCCTTTTCAAGATCTACATTTGACTCACTAAAATATACCCAAAATTTTATCACAGCATATATGCATACATTTCTTCAACAAACTGAGCGCCTACCATATGCCATGCACTATGGTAGCTGCTGGACATGAGGTGGTGAGAAACACTGCCTTGACTTTCAGAGGAGACCAAAACAATATGAGAAGTGTATCAGATACTGTGGGAAAACAAAGGAGCGGCACCTGGAGGAAACTGGGAAACTGCTGAAAGATACTAAATAAGGAAGTAATATGATAGCCCTGCCAGGGGACTAGACAGGAGGGAGACAGGTAGCAGGAAGAATGCTATTTTGACAATGCGGAGGGGAAAACTGCTGAAGTTCTGTAAGGAAGTCCTAGACTTGAGTAAGGAGAAAGGAGCAGGACCAGTCAGGAGGTAGACTCAACGATGTAGTGATTGGTTGGGGGATAAGGGGGAAAGAGAAGTCTAGAATCTAGGCTAGGTGACCAGGTAGTTGTCCCATGCTGTCACCGTAAGCATGACAGTAACAGGTTTAGGGGAGTGAGAAGGGAAGGAGATGATGACTTTGGTTTTTTGACTGTGTTGATGTTGATGTACATCATATCTAAGAGGGCATGTTCACTAGTCAATTGGATGCAAGGTCTGAGACTCTAGAAAGGTCAGTGGATATAAGGTTAGAGATTTATTAGACTGGAGGTAGGTTGGTTTGGGTTGCCAAGAAGAGTGTGTAGACTGAGAAGAGAGAAGAGAAGAGAGCAGAACCCTGGAAAATTCTAAGCCATGGCTAGAGGATCAGAAGCCCACAAAGACACACTGGACAAGTGGGCATAGAGACAGGAAGGAGAAAAGCAGTATCATGACCATGAAGAGAAGGCAGTCTCTGAAAGGGAAAGATGTCAATGGTGTCACACACCACAAAGAAGTCAAGGTAAGAAAGGAAACTCATTTTCTGGACTTACATGAAGAGAATAACCTCACCATAAATGCCCTAACAAATTAGTAGCTTCTTAAGTTTTCTGGGATGTCTTTATTGCTAAAATAACCTCAGATAGCCATACTTCTTTTATTTATATTGTGCTTTTATGTTTATTAAAGATAGTTTTATAAGTGAATCTATAATTATTTTAAAATAAAAAGTTATTTAAAATAGTCCCATAATATAATCCTTTAAAAGAGATTTGGAAATATTTATGTTTTTCCAGTAAACCTCACATTACCTAATAATAGGACTCACAGACTTGAATATCTACAGGGGCCAGGCAAGGAAAAAGAAGAGTTAAGCAATTTGAATCGGGGGCAGAGTAGGGGCGGCAAACTACTCAAAACCCAAGTCCTTTCTAAAAAGAGCAGCCAATAGCCAATTCTACTATACAGCCATAAGGCCAATCTTGCCAGGTCATCTGGTTTTTTGAGAAAAGCCAGAAATATGAATTTTTACATAAAATTTCCCAATTTTAAAATGTACCCAGTGAATTTAATTTTTTTCAAAATATTTTGTAAATGTAACGAAACATATCAATAGGTCCGAGACGGCTCAGGAACCATTCAGTTTTTTTGCCTTCGCTCTAGAGTATGTATAATATGGCATTTTAATCTTATACATTGAGAAGAAATTAAGTTGTAAATAAGAAAGGAGGCTGAGGAGGGAGGATCACTCATAAGCAGTAATAGAGCTGGATGCAGAATCTGGTTCTTTTAGTTACCAAACTGTTATGTCCTTCCTCTGCGATTACACAAGCTTCTTTACCTAACAAATGAAATATATAGACAGGTTAGTCAGACATGCAATAATCACAGCATGCTGTAATAAATTTAGGACAGACAGCATAAGCTTCCCATTTAATTAATCCAGATGCTGTCTCTCTTGAAACATTTATAAGTGGGAGCCCCAGATGAGTCATCAAATCAATTGTCTTTGCCTCACAAAGTCTGTTTTAAAAGTATAGGACACAATTATAGCATGGTTTGGAGCAAAATTATAACTTAGCTAAACAAATATCTTTATATCGAGTAATAACATGTAGATATTTTAAATTTCTGGAGAAAAGTTTAATTATTGCAGAGCTCATAGAAAGCCAGGCTCCAATTATTAACACTTTAAGGACTGGGCGCTGTGGCTCACGCCTGTAATCCCAGCACTTTGGGAGGCTGAGGCGGGCCGATCACCTGAGGCCAGGAGTTCAAGACCAGTCTGGCCAACATGGTGAAACTGCATCTCTATTAAAAATATAAAAATTAGTCAGGCGTGGTGGTGGTGCCTTTAGTACCAGCTACTTGGGAGGCTGAGGCAGGAGAATCGCTGGAACCCGATGATGGAGGCTGCAGTGAGCCAAGATTGTGCCACTGTACTCCGGCCTGGGCAACACAGTGAGACTGTCTCAAAACAAAAACAAAAACAAAAAACAAAACAACAAAACAAACAAAAACACAACTTTAGTACGACTATACCCATCCATTCACTCAACATATATGATGAACCTACAATTTCCTGTTCACTAGGGATATATTTTCCAGCTGAGGGCATATACATTTAAACTAATTATTTTCAGTAAAACATGGAGTGAGCGCTACAGGAGTCCAGAAGGAAGGGGCTAGCATAGCCACTTACCTTCTTTGCCTTTGCTAACAGATCTCTAAAGTGAAGTACGCTGATTTTGCAAAAACCAAAGTCTCAGAGCTAGGGGACTTGGTGGGATACAGACTCACGTATTCTGACTGCGAGTTCACAGCTGAGATACCGTGAACAAAAAGGAACCACTCTTTTGTATTCCTCTCTTTCCCAAGGAGTCAGTGTACTCCTTTGCAAAGCAATTTTCACCTACAGAGTCCTAACAAATATTAGCTATGTCCTCTGATTTAAGCTACTCAACTCAATGCCATGTTTTGTTTTCCTTTGGGGAGTCACCAACTAGCTTGGACTTGAAAGACGTCTTCTGTGCAAGGGGAGGCAAATCTTGCTGGTTGGAAGCAGCAGAATCAATCTGGCGCCAGTATCATCTGAATCTAGCATTCTTTGCACAAACTCTAATCCAAATACAAACCCACCAGCTTTTACTGCTGAAGTTTAATATTCACAGCAAAACCACAACGTGGCCTCACGTTACCACCAGGCCCGGCTTGAGCTTTTTACTCGAGCTGGGCTTGGGCGATCTAAAACGAGGGACAGGGCCTGCATTTCCTGGGCGGAATGTTATTTATAGCCAGGGCCAGGAGAAGCCAAAGCCGACAGCTGCTGCGCCGCAGCGCGGGGCCGCCGCCATGCAAGCAGTTGTCACACCGCTCACCTTCACAGTCGGCCCCTGGCCGCCCCCCGGCCTCCTGGCCCTGCGTCAGCACCGGGTGAGAGACCAAAAGCCCGGCGCAAAAGGCCACCACAGCAACTGGGCTCGCGCACCACATGCTGGGCCAGCAGCTTCAATCGCCTCCGCCACCCGCGCCCACCGCCCACCAAGCTGCCAAAGCGAGCTGAGCAGAATTCGAGGTTGGAAAGAATCTGCCAGTAGTTGCCAGGACAAATGACGCAACTGAACACAGAGTTTCCATTGGCTCTCAAGGAAGGGATAGGAAGGGGGCGGAGTGTAGGAGCCTTTTCCCGTCCCTCCCCGGTTGCGCGTGCGCACTGTGCAGTTTCCGCGGAGCGCAGAGACGCGCTGAAGCTACTCGCGGACTGCGCGTGAAGAAAGGCGGAACCTTCACGCTGATTGGCGGCGACGCGGGAGGCTGTAGCGGCCGACCGGACGCAGGGGGCTGGCGGGAACGTGAAGCTCCGCGGTGCCTGATGGGGCCGTTGGGCGGCCGGTAGCTGTTGCTGTTGGGGGACCCCCTCATTCCTGCCGCTGCCGTCCCTGCTGCCTCATGGCGGCCATCGGAGTTCACCTGGGCTGCACCTCAGCCTGTGTGGCCGTCTATAAGGTGAGGGGCTGCGGAGCTGGGCTAGGGCTTCATGACGGCCACCCGGTTTTCTGGCGCTGGGTCATCCACAGGCTTGAGAGCGGCGTGTCGCCGGCCTAGGGATGTCGTGGAGTGGCGTTGCCGCGAGGACACTCCGGAGCGAAGGGCCGGGCAGGCCCGGCCTCGCGCCTGGCGATTCCTCCGGAAAGTCGTCTACTCCGCGGCGGAGGCTCGCGGCGATGTAGACGCGCGGGGTCCCAGGGCGTCATGGCGGCGGGATGCCCGGAGGGGTCCCAGGGACGACGTAGCTGCAGGGTGCCCGGGGGGGTCCCGGAGACAGCGGGGCCGCTGGGTGTCCCGGGGGGTCCCGGGGACGGCGGGGCTGCGAGCATTTTGGGGGAGGTCACGGGGACGTCCTGGCCTCTGGATGCCGGAAGGGGTCTCGCTGACGTCAGGGCCTCAGGATTCCCGCGGGTGGGAGGTCCTGGGAAAGTTGTGGCCGCGAGGTACTTGGAGGCGGTGGTCTCTGGGACAGCAGGGCCGCAGAACGCGCTGAGCTGGGCCCGAACGTCTAGGTCCCGGAGGGGCGGGGAGGCTGCAGTCGAGCTGGGGCTGATGGTCCCGCAAAGCTGCCTGGCTGTGAAGCCAGTTGATGGTGCGTGGTCTACAGAGGTGGCCTTTCTGGAAGTGAGAGCCTGACAGGACTTGTGGCCTTTCTCTCATCAGTGGGGAGGCAGAAGAAACGATAATCATGAACTCCGTTGCCACTAGTCCCGCGTTTAAATGTCAAATGACTTGTTAGGAAAAGCCAAAGGGAATAATACTACTTCATTTGTAGAAATGGGAAGAAAGGGGCCCAGCGCGGTGGCTTACGCCTGTAATCCCAGCACTTTGGGAAGCCGAGGCAGGCGGATCACGTGAGGTTAGGAGTTCTAGACCAGCCTGGCTAACATGGTGAAACCCCGCCTCTACTAAAAATACTAAAAATTAGCCGGGAACGCCTGTAATCCCAGCTGCTCAGGAGGCTGAGGCATGAGAATGGCTTGAACCCGGGAGGCGGAAGTTGCAGTGAGCCGAGATCTGGCACTGCAGTCTGCACTCCAGCCTGGGCCACGGAGCAAGACTCCGTGTCCAAAAAAAAAAAAAAAAGAAATGGTAATGGTAAGAAGGAAGAGAGGTAGGAAAGGTAACGTAATAATAGCCTTCGTTTTGTGTGTAGAAAGGTTGTTATTACTTTTGATTCAATTGTTGACTTTGCAGAGCAGACTGAAAACATGAGGCAGTTCTTCATGGAATTATAGGCTTTCTATGAAAACGAGGAAATTAAATGGTAATTAAATTTGCAAGTTTAAAATATTGAGATAGCAGTTTTTCTTTCCACACAGATGGCAAAGTAACACTGGTGCACAAATGCACACGTCTGAATACGTCTAATGAGACTATGTATTTCGTGTTTTTTTCTCTAGGATGGCCGGGCTGGTGTGGTTGCAAATGATGCCGGTGACCGAGTTACTCCAGCTGTTGTTGCTTACTCAGAAAATGAAGAGGTACTAGTCCCCCCATTTTTGTACTTCTGAAATAATTTAAAATTACATACATTGTAATATATATATATATATATTATTTTTTTTTTCAGATTGTTGGATTGGCAGCAAAACAAAGTAGAATAAGAAATATTTCAAATACAGTAATGAAAGTAAAGCAGATCCTGGGCAGAAGGTATGGAATCAAATGATACTTTTAAATATGGTAATAGGAACATGTTCATAAATTCTAAGCATAATGTGAAAAGAAATTAGAAACAGCATAGTTTGTTTCTTCATTGCTTTTTATGACTGAGTCATTACAGAGAGTACCCCCAGTAGGCAGTGTCTTTTGATTCTTAGTGTTGGATCTTCTCTGATATGGGATTCACTCAGATGTTAGTTTCTTGCTGACAGGTCAATTTGGTAATTTGCGTCAGAGGTGGTAATTTGGATTGTTCACATTTTTAGATTTTTTTTAACTGAGAGGATTTCAAAGATTTTGTGGGAATTTGAAGACTTATTGACAATGTGGTTGAATTTTGCTGAATCTATTACAATTTTTCGTAATTTATGTAGACACTATTGATTTTCTTCCTCAGGATCTTTTGTGACACTTTCTGGGAACGAACTTTTCCACTTGACTTACAAATTTAATCATTAGAGTAACAGCTAAATTAACGTCTTATGTAAGAATCAGATTAATCATCTGTTGTAAGTTTAATTAGAAGATTAAAACAGGCTTGCTTCCCCAGACTTCTGTCTCCTCAAATTATAGATTGCTATAATAATTAGGGGTTTTCATTTTCACTACTGTAGTAATACTTGATAGAGTGTTTTTAAATTTTCAAAGTGCTTTCACATCTATTATTTTATTTAATTCTCTCAACATCCTTGTAAAATTGGCAACGCAAATACTATCATTCCCCATTTATAGATGAGAAAATCAAGGTACAAAGAAATTGTGGCATTATCCTAGGGGGTAAACTGGGTAAGACTGCAGATCAGGTCTCCTCACCCTCGGCCCCAGGTTCTTTTCTTTCAACTTTGTTTAGTGAGAATTTAAGTAAAAATGTCCTGGTGTTGATTTAGAATTGGATATTATAGATTAAATTTATGCAGGTATCTCTTACCTGTTTATCTTATTTTCTGTCTCTTACCTGTGTTCAATTAAATTGAACTTGATATTAATCTTTTTCCTCAGGATACTTATGCACTAAGCCAAAAACTATAGTTGTTTGGAGAGAATTCAATATTCAGTGACAATAAATACATCCCCATATCCTTTTACCTATTGATAAAACTTAGTACCGAGCATATTAAATATAAGTTGGTGTCAAATATTTTCAGATCATAAAGTCTAGAAAAAAGAATCGTAGATGGGTCTTCAAGCCCAAATCACTGAGCAGCCAACAATATGATTTTTTTAATTAAACTTTTTATTTAGAGAGAATTGCAGTTTCCCATGCTGCTGTGTAAGAAATAATACAGAGACATCAAACACATTGCTGGATTCACCACCTCTCCCCGTGGTTATATCTTGCAAAATTATAGTACAGTGTCACAACCAAGATGCTCACATCGATATAGTCCAGATACAGAACATTTCCATAGATCTCTCCCCTGGTAGCCAACAATATGTTACTGTTTGTTTTATGCTGCTGTTTGAGGGCACATGGTTAGAGTAATTATGTGGCTTTCTTCTGCCATATTGTGCAAAAAAAAAATTTGTATTAGCAGAGCAACTTAAACTCACTTTTCTGGCCCACACTGACAGTCAGATGGGTAACACAGAGCCACAGCGTGCTGTGATTAGTAAAGACTGAGCATCTTTCAGATTGCTATACCGTGGTCATGCTTGGACTCCTTTAGCGTTAGCTGCCTCATGGTCCAGGTGATTTTCCCTCCCAGCCCATCTACTCACCAGACAAGGGTGATTTTTACAGATCCATTGTTGTACCAACTCTCAGCCATGAAAGCATTTGGCCTTTTTGTTACCAAGCCATTAGGTTCTTGGTGCCGTGTCTACCCTGGGTGAACTCCCAAAGTTGGGCTATCTCAGTCTTGGCCTCATGCCTGTTTATGACCTACTCACAGGTAGCACCACTTAACTTGCTGCCAAAATTATCCTTACACCCTTCCTGTAACTCTCATTCCCCTGTGGCCTTCCAGCCAGAAATGCGGTCCTTGGACCTGGCTTCTCAGCAATTATCCCTGAGAGGGAAGATCCTGGAGATATCCTGAGAGCACACAGAGCTTCCCCACACCTTCAGACTTGCACCTTGCTGTCCAGAAGCTGCCTAGCCCTCCTTTCCAACCCACAATGGCCAGTGCCAATAGCAGTGCGGGCATCCGGTGGTCCAGACAGGAGACACGAACTCTTCTCTCCATACTAGGCGAGGCAGAGTATATTCAGCGCCTCCAGACTGTGCATCACAATGCAGATGTCTATCAGGCTGTGTCTAAGCGAATGCAGCAGGAGGGCTTCCGCCGCACCGAACGTCAGTGCCGCTCCAAGTTTAAAGTTCTGAAGGCATTATATTTAAAGGCCTATGTTGCCCATGCCACAAGTATGGGTGAGCCACCACACTGTCCATTTTATGATACGTTGGATCAGCTTCTCCGAAATCAGATAGTGACTGACCCAGACAACTTAATGGAGGATGCTGCTTGGGCCAAGCACTGTGATCAGAACTTAGTGGCCTCTGACGCCCCAGGGGAAGAGGGAACCGGCATTCTAAAATCAAAAAGGACTCAGGCAGCTGATCATCAGCCTATCTTGAAAACAGTTAAGGCATCAGATGAGGATTGTCAGCTAAGAATCAGTGACCGGATACGAGAAACCAGTGACCTTGAGGACTCCTGGGATGAATCCTCGGGTGCAGGTAACTCCCAAGCATGTGAAGGAGTTGGGTCCCAGAGTCTTGTGGCTCTAAACATTTAGCTGTGTCTGTTTGGATAGTGTCCTCTTCAGCATAGTTCCTGTTTCTGCCTCATTCTGCCCCACGCACCTTTTCAAAAACCTAATAGTAAGCTAAAGGGTTCCAGGTTTTCAAAAGCTATGCCCCTGGCAACATAAGGTATTAGAACCCTTTAAACCTAGAAGTGCTCTCTAGAACCAAACTAGTTCTGGCATTATTAATAACTGGTAGTCAGGAAATTGTAGGTCTAGAGTGGGTTGGATAGCTATGTACAAAGGGGTTCAGGAAGGCAAGGGAGAAGTTTTAGAGGTGAAATCAAACAGGTCACAATTGTCCAGATTAAGGAAATGGATTCTTCCCAGTCCCTGGTGGAAAGAGGCTTTCCAGGAACAACCATAGTTTTATAATTTGTCTCAGCTCTGCTGCTGGCTCCAAGCATTCCCTTAGCAGGAATGTTCTCTTTGCAACATTGTTGCTTTGTTTTTCAGGGTGCTCTCAAGGGACCCCCAGCTACAGCAGCTCCCACAGCCTTTTCAGAGGTGCAGTTGCTCCCTGTCAGAGCAGCCCCATGGCCAGACTGGGTGTGTCCGGGGAGCCCAGCCCCTGCACCAGCACCAACCGCAGCACTCCTGGGGTAGCCTCCACACCGCAGACTCCAGTCTCCTCTTCGAGAGCTGGTTTTGTTTCTGGTGGGGATAGGCCCTTGACCAGTGAGCCCCCTCCAAGGTGGGCAAGGCGAAGAAGGCGGTCAGTGGCCAGGACTATCGCAGCCGAGTTGGCAGAAAACAGGCGATTGGCACGAGAACTCTCAAAGCGGGAGGAAGAAAAACTGGACAGGCTGATTGCTATTGGTGAGGAGGCCAGTGCTCAGCAAGATACTGCCAATGAGCTCCGCAGGGATGCTGTCATCGCAGTCAGACGTTTGGCAACAGCAGTGGAAGAGGCAACTGGTGCTTTTCAGCTAGGCCTTGAAAAATTGCTTCAGAGGTTGATTTCGAATACCAAAAGCTAGGAACCAATTACAAAAGGCTCTGCTTCCTAAACTGGTAGAAGTCTAGTTCCCAAACCTGCCTTCTGAATCCCTGGCTCCTTTTCTGTGTCCTCAGAAAAAAACATGGATGAACCATTTATATCCAGATAGTATGAAAATAATTGCTAGTTCATTTTCCCAAGATTCTCCACCAAATGGAAGACCTTTCAGAAATGCCAGGGGTGACCTAATAGAAAACGATGGAGCCACGTTCTAGACAGCTGGTTCATCCTAGCTTTGTCACAGATGTGAAGCAGTTTACCTCCCTCCAGTGGTTTCCTCATCCGTAAAATGGGGATCAATAATAACTCCTGCCCTGCCTACCTCACAGGGTTGTTGTGAGGATCACGTAGTTCATAGATGTGAAAGGGTTTAAAAGTTTAAAAGCACTGTACACATTTAAGTTATTAATTCATATGGCCTTGGCTGAGGTAAGGCAGATTGGTTTACAAGATACAGAAGTATGGATATATACTGTGACTTCATTGCTTGAATCTTTCCTTTGCTGGTCTAACTTGACTGCTTCATGGAGTTTGAAATCTTAATTTTTAAAATCCCTGTGTGGCTCATTAGACGACTATAAGCACAACCTGTATTTGTACCTTAATCTCTTACATTTCCACTGCTGTGTATCTGACATATCTACTAGTAAGCACTGTTTTGTCAAACCGTCTTTCTCTCCTTCATTTTACTGGTTCTTAGTCTCCTATCAATATAAGGAAATAAGAAGTGCCAGGGAGCCGCCATTGTGTGTTACGGTTTATATCGATAATCTTCAATATAAAATACTGGCCATTTTATAAAATATTAAATATATGTAAATTCTTTGCATTTCATATTATTTGGGTCCCTTTATATGCCTAAATTACATCTTTAAGTTTCGGTTGCCATTGGAACATTGTGGAAACAATTCAGATTATATCAGTTTCCCATCCGCTTTTTAGCTGATTTCATTCTTTTCTGTTATTTTTTTGTCTAGTATGTTATACAGGGCAAGCCCTAGAAACGTTTCCTTTTGAGGAGCTTTCCAAGATTCCTTTTCCTCAGATGTTGTAGACAGAAGTTTATGTAGTTAATGGCATCTGGTGGAAGAGAACAGCTTTGTTTCCTCTTTAACTTTGGGAACACTAGAGGATGGTGTGGATAAAGATTGCCTGCAATAGATGACTCCTTTTAAGCACTAGCCGTGAACAGATGAGCCTCCTCCACACCCCAGACACACACTGGGGAGAGATGAAGGTGATAAGCCACACTTCCGATTTACTCTAGAAGGGAAGACATTACTCTCTGTCATTAAACTAACTTAAAGCTTTTAGTGATTTACTTAGTACTTTTAGGAATACAAATAGGAATCTTTAGGATTTAAAAAGTTTTCCAATAATCTAGAAGTTGGAAAAATAACAAAGAGTGGGCATGTTGGGGGAGGTTTTATTTTCTATCTTGCAGGCTCGAGTGCTTAGCTAAATGCTGGAAATGGACATAGGTGGAGAAATGGTCAGAGCAGCAGTGGGAGCGTACCCAGAACCATGAGTAGACGGCAAGCGAGCTGCTCTGCCAAGCCAGGGATGGAGGTGTGAGGCGGCTGGTGTGGTAGAATATGTTGGAATCTAGTTAGAATTCCTGGATTGGAATCCTGTCACAGTTTGTTTCATCAGACAAATCACTTGCCCTTTTCTATTATTATTATTTTTTTTTTTTTGAGAAAAAGTCTCACTGTTTTGCCCAGGCTGGGGTGCAGTGGTGCAATCTTGGCTCACTGCAACCTCAGCCTCCCGAGTAGCCGGGATTACAGGTGCATGCCAACATGCCCAACTCATTTTTGTATTTTTAGTAGAGACGGGGTTTCACCATGTTGGCCAGGCTAGTCTTGAACTCCTGACCTCAGGTGATCCACCTGCCTCGGCCTCCCAAAGTGCTGAGATTACAGGCGTGAGCCACCGTGCCCAGCCAATTCATGCCTCAATTTCTTTATCTCCGGATTGAGGGATTTGTATTAGATTTTTTTTTTCCTAGTACCTTCCAGCTCTAAAAAAATTTGAAATAGCATAATAAAAGACAAAATGAAAACGAAATTTTAATTGTAATATTTTCTGTCACAGCAGCATATGTATATTTGAAATACTGGTAACAATTTTAAGGTAGCATTCTGTGGTATTAATATTTATTAATATGCTCATGAACTTCTAAGTGCCACACCAGACATATAGACTCTTTACTTTAAAAGAGCATATATTTAAGGCATTGAAATGGATACAGCTATATTCATTCTCAATTGTCTTAGGCTATTATATGGAAAGATATGTGTCAATTATAGGTAGGTAGGTAGGTAGGTAGATTTTCTGGAAACACAGAAGTACTTGACGGAGAGTTAGGCCTGTATTCTATAAATCTATTAATGGTAGCAAAGTGCATAAGACAGGGATTTCTTTGAGATGAAAGGAGTGCTGAAGAAGAGCATTGGAATTAATATTTGGATGTGGTATTGTGAAATTCAATGGGTAAAGTAACCCTAATGTGGGAATAAAAGTCAAGGGAAAGGTCTTGAATAAGTACACAGAAAAATAGGCTAAAAATATTAAGGGGAGGGAAATTGGAATACAGGGAGACAGTGTGCAAGAAAGCAAGCCAGGAATCTGCCTATGTGGTAGACCCAACCATTACTACTTGAACCCCCTTAGAAAAGCTTTTCCAGCATTCCATAACTCAGGTTCCTCATTTATAAAGTGGGAAACTCATAATTGTCCTACCTACCTCACAGGGGTGTTGTGAGGATCAAAGGAACAGATGAATGTATGAGCACTTTCAGACATGTAAGGCACTGTCATGTAACAAGTAGGGGAAAGACTCTGGAGCACATTAGTGCTGGTGTGTGCCAAGCCCGTGGGCTGTTGACCGTAAGGGATATTCAAGTAGGAGGAGGAAGAGAAGATGGCATTGCTAATAAAGGTTGTGATACACAACCATAGGATTAACTGCCTCCTCAAGTCCATCATGTAAATAAGGTGCTATGTATACCAACTTCTCACCACCTTTGTTTTTCTGTTCGGTAATCCTGGTGTGGACAAATAAAGTTTTCACTTGTATGTAGTTGTGGGTCAGTCCACTACTTTGTGATGATGTCTGTGGTCCTTTGTTGCCTCCATTCTCTGCTTTGCTTTCTCCTCTGCTAAGGGTCTTGCATGTCTGCAGCCCTCGGAGCTATATGTGCTTTCTGTCTTCAGAGGAGAGCGGCCCTCTTTATAAAGCAGTTGAGAAATAATTTTCCATTTCTTAAGAGTTCTGTAAATTCTGTAAAATATCCTTCCTGGCAAATTCTCTTGTCTGGGTGGTAGACAACCTACGCACAACAGTATAAATTGTTCTGGTTGACTTAAATTCTAAAGAAAACAGAACTAGTAAGTGTCATGCTGAAATTCTAATATTGGTGCAAAACCCGCTATGAGCACACTTTATCTATTTTTCCTATTCTTAAAGTGTTTGGGATATAGTTAATATTAAATACTGAGTTTAGGAAAAGGAAGAAGCAAAGAGTTTAATGGAAAGAATACTAAACTTTGTATTGAAGTTCTGAATGCCAGCCAGTTATGCCATTGATTAGCTGTGTGACTTTGGGCAAGCTACTTACCTCTTGTCCTATTGATATTTTAGGTGACAGAGAAGGAAGTATGAGGAACCTGCAAGTATTCCAGAGTTCTAAGCCAAATTAGTCCATTTTAAACCCCGTTTGTCTGCCTCTTAACAAGTTAAGGTCTCCAGATGCTCTAACCCTTCAGCAATTAGCCACTATTAATTTTCAACTTCTCTTATTAAACAAATAGAATAGTCACAGCTCCTTGGAAGAAGGGTTTAATGAAAGGATACTAGTCTATTTTATCTTAATTTCTAGATGACATTAAGCCAAGAATCAGAGATTTCTATCCCGCTCAAGGGACAGAAGAACTGTGATCATTTACAAGATGAGTGGGAGGCAGCCTGCTAAAGTATGAATAATAGTAGCGTGATAGAGAAGACCTAGGCTCACGTACTGACTCTGCCCCTTGTTAGCTTATAAGTTATTGTCCCTCTCTGAAGCTCTTTATCTCTAAAATAATACCTGCCAAACACACCCCACTTAGGTGTTGTGAGGATAACGTGAGATAATGTACGTGAAAACATTTTGTAGTCTGCATAAGTTGCTTATATCTGTATATATATGCATATGCATAGTACTCTGCACCTTTCTATAAACAACATTCATAGTTTTGCTCAACCTTTTGGTTTCTGGAGTTGGTGTGTGTTCAGAAACCAAGCAACGAAGATGGTCTTAGCTAGTTTGGTTTGCCTTTAGTTTGCAACTTTCTCATCTCAGTGGTTGGGTCTTCAGAATCATAGGTGTGAAACTATGATACAAAATCATGGATATTATGAAAAGTCACCTCAAAATATATAGCACCTATTAATAGCACAGCCAGAACAAGAAAGCTATTTATTTTCAAATGCAAAGATCAGTACTTTAGTAGAATTACTATAACCCTTATAAATACTCCATTTCTATCTTCTGTAATATTTGAAGACTTTTAGTATTAAGCAGCTTAATAACTTTGTTAATATTTTAGTATTTGTTCAGTGATATTGTGAAATACAGTCTTCTCTAAACTTTATATATCTACAATACTGATTTTAATACTTAGCTATCTTTATCTTTCTTTATGGACAGCTCCAGTGATCCACAAGCTCAGAAATACATCGCGGAAAGTAAATGTTTAGTGAGTATGGTTCTGTTATTGCTTCCCTGTTACATAGAGTAATTACCAAGGTGATAACATGGAATGTTGATTTGAAACTTTGCATTTTTATTAAAAATTATTTATTTAGCATAATTGTAATTTATTTTATAGGTCATTGAAAAAAATGGGAAATTACGATATGAAATAGATACTGGAGAAGAAACAAAATTTGTTAACCCAGAAGATGTTGCCAGACTGATATTTAGTAAAATGAAAGGTATTTAGCAAAAGATATATAATAGTTACCTTTAATGATCTTTTGAAAGTTGACCTTAAAAAAAAAGTTAGAGGTATTTTTAGATCTTGGGAGAAGCAGAGTGATTGCACAGATAAGTAAGGACATATAAACTGTCGACCTGGTTGGGGCACTAACTGGGTATGTGCCCGTGGTTAAATGACTTGCCTTACCTGACTGTGATTTCCCTATAAGTCATATAAATGAATTAGGCCAAATAAGAGTTTTCCAAACATAGTTAGTGGCCGAGTAAGCTTGGTGAATAGTGGCACTTCAAGATCGACAGTATACTGTGAACAATAATTTAGGCAGACTAAGTAGGTCTGATTTTATCAGCAGTTCAGACGGAGGCTCTGAGCTGAGTGGTATTCTGTCGAACAATTTGGGAAATTCTGGAATAGATTGTTTATAAGGCTTCCTTCAGCCCTGTAATGATGTTAAGAACTTGGGGGTTGGAAGGCAGGCTTTAAATGTAGAGAACTAACATTATGACGTTGTGTCTTCACATGGATGCGTTAGGAGCTTATTCTCCATGGAGTCAGTCTAATTCAGAAGATGGTTGATACTGAAGCCTAAGAGCCAGGCTGTTTGGAAAGCTAATTCTGTGTCCAAATATATCACCAAAACCACAAGAAGTGCTGCATGATTTCAGAGCGCAGAGAAGAAAATTGACACGGGGGCGGGGTGGGCAAGCAAGTGTATTGGGAAATATGTTAAGTGAGATCTTTGTCATAAATTAATAAACCTCAGAAAGTATCACTTGTCATTTTCTTCTGTCATCAGAATTTTATATTTTTTAATATGCAGAAACGGCACATTCTGTATTGGGCTCAGATGCAAATGATGTAGTTATTACTGTCCCGTTTGATTTTGGAGAAAAGCAAAAAAATGCTCTTGGGTAAGTATATGGGGTTTATCTTACTGGCTTAATTAAAGGAAGTACAAAGTCACTATATAGTAAAAGGTAACATTGTATTTTAAAGTACCTTAGGCGATAAAATTGTATTTGTAAATAATTTAGTAAGGTAATGATCATTTTTATATGTATATATTTGATGAAATGCCAAGAGGCCAGGTGTGGTGGTTCACGCCTGTAATCCCAACACTTTGGGACACTGACGGGGGGGCGGCGGGTGGACCACCTGAGGTCAGGAGTTCGAGACCTGCCTAGCCAATATGGCCAAACCCTGTCTCTATTAAAATACAAAAATTAGCTGGACATGGTGTTGGTGCCTATAATCTCAGCTATTCGGGAGGCTGAGGCATAAGAATCGCCTGAACCCAGGAAGTGGAGGTTGCAGTGAGCCAAAGTCGCGCCACTCCACTCCAGATTGTGTGACAGCGAGACTTCGTCTCAAAAAAAAAAAAAAGCCAAGAGAACATAAAATTAAATATGGTGTACCTTCAGCTGTTTCGATCGGAAACATTTTAAATTACCAGGTTAAATTGACATTTATGAATCTCTTTGCCTTAATTTTGTGTAATTAAGGTTTATGTAGGAATTACATGTGCAGTTTTAGAAAATATTTGTGCTTATTTCTTCACCTTAGATCTTAACATCTAAACAGAAAAGTTATAGTTTTTACAGGTCATTATGCAAATGTATTGGTGTGCTTTTATGCCTTTGCTCTGCAGGATAGAGTTTCACACAAGGTTCTGGGCATTGAAGTTGCCTCTGAGGCAGAGAATTGCCTTATGTACTTTTAAAAACTGAACACTAGATTAAAGAAATTGGAAATTTTCAAGTGTTCTATAAATTTGTCTTTCTGCAGTTTTTGCATAGGCATTTTTTTCATTCAATAAATGTGTATTGATTACTGTTTAAGCCACACTGTATTGAAGGTTGAATAAATAGAGATAAATAAGACATGGTTTCTGATGTCACAGAATTAACAAGATAATTACGTTAAAATGTGGCAAGTACTTTGAATGGGGAAGTTCTGGATAGCATGAAGACAGGACACCTGTCCTAGACTCTCAGAGCCCCAAAAGACTCTCATCTTTTGAACTTTTTTTTTTAAACATGGATATTTTTGAGAGCTTTATTTCTCTTATTCAGTACGTGTGCTTTTTGCTTTCTTTGTGAAGAATATGGGCTCTGAACATTACAATTTTAAACAGAAAGTGATCTCTTATAGTCATTCATTTCTTGTTTTCTATATTCTTGCTTCTAAAGATCATTATACTTCATGTTCTACTTATGAAATTTTAGTAGCTTTTGTATAAAATCTTTAGCAGATCATTTCTAAAAATGTAGAATTGAACATGTGATAAATTAAATTCATTGAAAGCAAATTGTTCACAGAGAAGCAGCTAGAGCTGCTGGATTTAATGTTTTGCGATTAATTCACGAACCGTCTGCAGCTCTTCTTGCTTATGGAATTGGACAAGACTCCCCTACTGGAAAAAGGTAAAGATCATATTTGCAGTTTTAGGTTTTTTGAGTGCAGAAAACATTTTAGATTATAGAGATTATATCAGTAAAGATTATTATGTAATGCAGTGGTTCCAAACCTTTCTGGATGGAAAAACAGACTCTTGCCTAGAGTTTTTCAAATAGTTGAGAAAGATGTCCTAGGAAAGCACAGAAAGAATGTAATGGGAGAGAAGGTTGAGCTTTTATGCCCTTGTCTTGTCCCTTTTTTGAGGGAAGATTTGAAAGTTCGAGGCCTGGCCAGTTTCCAACTCAAGCTACGACACTGCTGATTTTTCTACCAATTCCAGTTATTAGACATGTTTGCAGATAATAGGTACTGTTATATACATTTGACAGGGCAGGAGATGGATTTAGCATGAGGTTTTGAGACTTCTTTTAATGGTGAAATACTAGAACATACTTATCCCTAATATAGCTGTCAATATGTCTTAATAGAATGGATAGTCGTTCAACTTTAGAGAAGTTAATTCAGATGCAGTGTTAATTTTACATAATTGTTTCACCTCATTATTCGTATCTCCTAGTTAAGCAAAGAAATATGTGTACATCATGAGGAAATTATTTTTAGATAAATCTGAGAATATCAAATTATGAGTTTTAATACATGGGGAATCGGGAATTAGCTCCTAATTTTGCATATGTAATATATCTACAGAACATGCAATTGCATAGTAACTTGCATAAGATTAACACATAGAATTTCTATGTTCAGTTCTCTTAAAATTCACTATAATCACAGATCTCTTGATTTACTTTGAAAAGTTCGTGTTTTGAACTCCTTACTCAGAAGAATACAGTTGTATCCACATGACTGAGGAAAAAAGAACTTTGATTTGGTTGCAGAACATCTCAGATCTAGGCTTGATTTGTCAATAAGTGACTATAGACAACTTAGTTATTCACCTGAGATTTTCTATTTCCTCATTTGTAAATTAAAGGGATTAAACTAAGTGACTTCTAATATCCAACTTAGTTTTAAAATGTTATTCCCTGATAACTTACTTTATCTTCTCTTGAAGCAATATTTTGGTGTTTAAGCTTGGAGGAACATCCTTATCTCTCAGCGTCATGGAAGTTAACAGTGGAATATATCGGGTTCTTTCAACAAACACTGATGATAACATCGGTGGTGCACATTTCACAGAAACCTTAGCACAGTATCTAGCTTCTGAGTTCCAAAGGTGAGTGTTAATGGCCTGAATAATACCTTCTGATTGAGGTTTTCCTTCACATATTTTAATTTTTTTTCCTAATTTATTTTAAGTTATCCTGCTGCAAAGGAGGATGTGGTTTTTTCATTGCTTGGAAACTGGATATTTTCATATCTAGAGTTATGTCCTGTCCAGGCAATTCAAAGAAGCAGAGGCCAGGCTGCCTAGTGCAGTGTGCTTGGATTTTTCACTTAGTGTAAAGAGACCGTCAGATACTGAACTGCATGAACGTAGATTTTAATTCTTCATGTAGTGCTCTTCTGTCTGGTTAAAGGAGTGTATAGGCACTGAGGCTTCATTGCCTTCTGAACAGTTTTTAAAAGTTTGGCTCTGGTGAAGATTGCATTATGTTATCTTCATATTCCAGTGAGTTATTGTCTTATGGAATATTTATCTTAATTACTCATCTGCTGCTAGGAATATTTCAGTCTTGTTACTGGATATAATTACTCTAAAATTCTAACCCTTTTGGATGTTACAAAAGTCAGATATGTAAAGGTTATACTTTGGGTACTGCTGCTCTAAAAAAAAAAAAAAGTGTAATTGAAATGGTATTTTAGCCAGTTTGACTAACCTAATTGGTTGAAGAAGTCTTGAAAAAGTCATAATGTCTCACTTGTTTGATAAAGACCTATACTGCTTTTTGTTACAAAGATGTTGTTTAAATGAAGTCATTGATCACTACTTAGTAAGTAGTTTTAAACATGAACTCATATTGGAGATAGTGGAATGTAATTTTACATATTTTGTTGTATGTGTCAAATTTTTTTGAAGAAACACTTGTAGGTTGTTTTTTCTTTTTAATGCTTGACAAATAATTTTATGCCATTAAACAGTGATTGTGCTGTGATTATAAAGGGTAAAATAGGAGACTTTGACGCTCTTACATAAATCTCCTTATCTCCTTTAACCTCTGTGTCTCACCTGGAAAAGGGTGATATCTACTCTACTTTCTTCAGAGTACAGTCTATTATTACAATTATATAATGCAGCAGTTCATGGTTACATAATGTAGCAATTCAGAGTATTAAGGAAATTGGTAATTCATTTTTCTTGAGGTGACCCCTTTAATTGCACAGAGTGTTTTAGGAAAGTTTAGAGGGATTAGAAGAGAAATACTAAAATCCGGAATAAAATATTGTTTCACTAATTTATTTTATTTATTTATTTATTTTGAGACAGAGTTTTGCTCTTGTCGCCCAGGTTGGAGTGCAGTGGTGCAATCTCGGCTCACTGCAATCTCCACCTCCCAGGTTCAAGCGATTCTTCTGCCTCAGCCTCCCAAGTAGCTGGGATTACAGGCATGCACCACCACACCCAGCTAATTTTGTATTTTTAGTAGAGATGGGGTTTCACCATGTTGGCCCTGGTTGATCTTGAACTCCTGACCTCAGGTGATCTACCCATCTCAGCCTCCCAAAGTTGGGATTACACGCGTGAGCCACCGCACCCGGCCTGATTCACTAATTTATTATTGTTTTAATAAGGATTATCCAGATCTTAGTTACAATATTGTAAATGGCCCAGTAATTTTAAACCCCAAAGGCTATGTTTTTAATTTAGATCCTTCAAACATGATGTGAGAGGAAATGCGCGAGCCATGATGAAATTAACGAACAGTGCTGAAGTAGCGAAACATTCTTTGTCAACCTTGGGAAGTGCCAACTGTTTTCTTGACTCATTATATGAAGGTCAAGATTTTGATTGCAATGTGTCCAGGTAAAACTGAAGTTCAAAAAACTTTTTTAAAAAATTCCAAGAACATGTTTGTTTAGGTATAATTTTCTTACTTTGGGTTTTTTGTTTGTTTGTTTGAGATTTATCAACCATCTATAATGTCTTCACTTTATTGGGGTCCAGTTTTTGTCAGACTAAATAGCTGTTACCAGAGTAATTACATAAGTTGTGATTGCTTGCCCTGTTATTTTATGGCTACAATTAGGAGTGTGCAAAGGCATCCTAGAACCTTCAACCTAGATCCTACAAGTGATAAAGTACAAAGGGAGGACGTGCTGTAGTCTTTGTGTTGCATATTTGCTAATAATAATGATACGGCCTATTCAAACCTCTCAACAACATAATAGGTGACTTTGAAGCATAGTGAAAATTTCCAAGACTGCAGTATATATTTTTTTAGGATTCTAGTGACTGTATTTGGTTAAATTCTCTTTTCATCTGTTTAGTTTAGCTTCTTCACTTTCCCCGGGCCTTCATGAAGACTCTAGATCTGCACTGCCCAATAAAAGAGCCACTAGCCACCTGTGGCTGCTTAAATTTAACTTAATTAGGATAACATTAAAAATGCAGTTCCTCAGTAGCACTAGCTGCAGTTCAAATGTTCAGTAGTCATGTGGCTAGTGACTGGTAGAAAGTCCTGTTGGACAGCTATGCTCCAGATCTTTGAAGAAAGAGTTCAGGCTACAACTCAAAAGATAGAAAAGGCATTGCATTGAATTAGAATCTCTTTTTGGACAGAGTATGTGTATTTTTCTAGTTCCAGAATTCCTTAGGGTTAAGTTTGTCCAAGTCCTCGGTATATATTTGCTTTATTAATCAGTAATTAAGAAGGAAATGAAATTTATAATTTTTCATTAGGGAAATTTTGCCTTTGTCACAAAGATTTCAACCATAAAAGTATGCTTTAATATCTATAAGGTTTATAGATATTAATAGATAACATTATTTTTTAAGCCACTCATCTGCATTTAAGAAGTTCTGTATGAAGATTAGGGAGTACATTTTTCATGACCATAAATTTTTCTTAAAACTTTGTTATCTGCCAGCATTCAATTTCTCAGGGAGTACGGAGGGGCTAAACTTATGTCCAACATGGTCTCAAACTGTCAAGGAAAATTATTAGAAATAATGTTTAAAACTTTAACATATAAAAATGGCAGAAACTTTCAAATGATGGTTTGATTAGGGTCAGTAGGTTTATTGTTGGGAATGCTATATGGGTATGTGTTTTTAGATTTGTTATTTTTTGGAAGCTTATAAGTAGACCATAAGCAAGATGGGCTTTCACTTGAATTTGATATTATCTTCATATATATGTAGGTGAATGACCTAGACTCTCCTGTCTCCATGATATTGCATCACTCTTACTTAATACCTTATTCTTATGGTAAACCTGTCATTCAGAGAACTATCATATTAAGTTTTGGCATTACTCTTCACAAGAAAAAGAAAAGTGATATTTGTTTGATTGTACTGAGCCCCGTTTTATCTTTCTCTTGTCCCTGTGTCTGTGTGTTTCTGTGTGTGTGTATGTGTGTACAGAGCAAGATTTGAACTTCTTTGTTCTCCACTTTTTAATAAGTGTATAGAAGCAATCAGAGGACTCTTAGATCAAAATGGATTTACAGCAGATGATATCAACAAGGTAATGCTTTTACATTTTTCTTAACTATTTTAGGTGTAGTTTCAGACTTGGAATTTAGGAAATAGCTCTGGGTACTGAAAGAATATTTTAATGCATTTAAGAATTTTCTTAGATTGTGTTAATGAATAAGGAAAAATTGATGAAATTTTGATTAATGGCTCTGGTGAACTCATTTGTATATATTCAGTTTCCTAGCAAAACAGAATAATTCCTTTCCAGTATATTTTTTATCTGTAAGCATAGACAGAAAGATATTTGAATACTTGCTATGTGCCAGGCACTTTTTCCAAGAGTTTTACACATATTAACTTGTTGAATACTCACAATAACTCTGAGGTAGGCACTACTATTTATCCCCAAGGTAAGCACTATTATTTATCCTAGTTTTGTACGTGAAGGCACCAAGGTACAGAGATTAAGTAGCTTCCTCAAGATCACACGGTAAGTAGTAGAGCCAAGATTTAACCCAGTATTGTTCCTGTGTCTCCTCATAACTAGTATACCAGGCTGCTTCCCGTTCCTTGCTTAGGAACATATTTTTAGACTTTCAAAAAAATTCAAATGTTTAGTATTTTCTTTTTTTTCCCCAAAATTATTTCTCTTCATTGAACATACTCTTTTTATACATTTAAAATGAGCCAGGTGCGATGGCTCAAGCCTGTAATGCCAACACTTTGGGAGGTCAAGGAGGGAGGACTGCTTGAGCCCAGGAGTAGAAGACTAGCCTTGGCAACATAGTGAGACCCTGTCTCTACAAAAAACAAAATTAGCGGGGTGTGATGATGTGCGTCTGTGGTCTCAGCTTCTTGGGAGGCTGAGGTGAGAAGATCACTTGGGCCCAGGGGGTCAGGGCTGCAGTGAGCCGTGATTCGTACCACTGCACTCCAGCCTGGGGACAGAGCAAGACCCCATCTCACAAATAAAATAAAAATAAAATGTATATGATTTTTAAAATTTTCATTATTGAAGTAGTAAGTATTCATGTAAGAAAATTCAAAATACCAAAAGGCAGCTGTATTTCTAACTTGTATAATTTGTATGCATAGGTTTGTTTGCTAGCTATAGTTTTGTGAGTTTTTTTAATAACAGTTCTAATTCTGTATGTACAGTTTTGAATTTTGCCTAATTTATATAATATAACCAATTTCCCCCCATATTACTATAGTCTTTTTAAACATAATTTGAAATAGATTGCTAATGTCCTAAAAAGGAAACGCACTGTCAGTTTTTCACTGTGGTCCTGTTGTAGACACATAGGTTGGGTTTTTTCCTCCCCTGTAAGAGAATGATGCCTGTCTTTATACAGAGACGTTTATCATATTTAGGATTATTCCTTAGAGTAGATTGCCAAAGTAAAATACTAGGTCAAGAATAAAAATAGCTTAAGACTATTTTTACCTCAAGTTACTTTCCAAAAGAATTGAATTAACTAATATTCCCATCAGCAATATATAAAAGTATACATTTTACTATAGCCTTGTCGACACTGAGTTATAGCATTTAAAGATAAATTTCCAATTGACTGTTGAAAAAAGATCTTTTCACTTTATATTTCATTGGTTACTAGAGGATTTTTTTAAATGTTTATTTAATTTTGTTTCTCCTTGTGTGTAAATTTTTATCTCATATTATTTGCCCATTTAATCATTTAAATCTTTTTTTTAAACTTGTGCAAATATTTTACATAATCGGAATATTAGCTATCATGCACAGCAGTCTTCCTTTGAGGCATTTACTTCACTATTTGGTTTTGGTCCTGCTAGGGAGGAGGGTGTTTGACTTACTCTTGATCTTTGACTCTGTTTCCTCCAGCTGCTTTGCTTGGATGTATGGCAAATATGAAATATACTTTTCTTTTAACTTGTCTATACTTTGACAGTTTTATGTTTTTAGTTTTTTTGATGTCTGCTATGTTGTGACAAATTTTTTTTGCAGTTTAGTTCAATAAGTATATATTTTGTTTTTTTTTTTAACACTTACAGTGTGGCAGGCATTTTGCTAGGTGTTTGAAGGCTGGGAGGCGGATTGTGAAGGATGAGGCATGTTGTATGATGGTAGTAAAACAGTGGTGGAAGGTGCATGGGCTTGGAGACAGACCCACCTAAACATGAAGCCTCATGGTTCTAATAGTTCTAGACTGGGCAAAATGCTTCATTTCCTGACACTTTCTCTTGTTATGAAAGTGATAATACTTACCTTACAAGTAAGTATTGTAAGTATAAGTTACTCTATAGGGTTGCTACAAGGGTTAAATGAAATGTCTGTGGCACAGCCTGTTGCATATCGTGACAAATAAGCATCAGTTCCCTTTCTTAACCAACCGGTCATGAAGCCCCCTCATTTCATTATCTCTCACAGTCCAATTCTCAGTTGCTTGAGTTGAGGCGGAATAGTTTTAGGTTTGAAATTTTTGTTAGAGATTCCCTCTTCAGATGTTTCTAAGACACAGGCTTTTGAGAACTTAATAATAAGAAATTGTCTTCTTAGTGTGTTGACCTTGGTACAGTAAGAAAATACCCTCAACTCTTCAGCGGTTTTCTG